>NT_187628.1:0-166743 GCF_000001405.40 Homo sapiens | reverse complement strand
GCTGTTGGTCTGATGGGCTTCCCTTTGAGGGTAACCCGACCTTTTTCTCTGGCTGCCCTTAACATTTTTTCCTTCATTTCAACCTTGGTGAATCTGATGATTATGTTTCTTGGGGTTGCTCTTCTCGAGGAATATGTTTGTGGTTTTCTCTGTATTTCCTGAATTTGAATGTTGGCCTGTCTTGCTAGATTGGGGAAATTCTCCTGGATAATATTCTGAAGAGAGTTTTCCAACTTGGTTCCATTCTCCATGTCACTTTCATGTAGACCAATCAAACATAGGTTTGGTCTTTTCACATAGTCCCATATTTCTTGGAGGCTTTGTTCATTCCTTTTTATTCTTTTTTCTCTAATTTTGTCTTCATGCTTTATTTCACTAAGTTGATCTTCAATCTCTGATATCCTTCCTTCCGCTTGATCAATTTGGTATTGATACTTGTGTATGCTTCATGAAGTTCTTGTGCTGTGTTTTTCAGCTCCATCAGGTAATTTATATTCTTCTCTAAACTGGTTATTCTAGTTAGCAATTCCTCTAACCTTTTTTCATGGTTCTTAGCCTCCTTACATTGGGTTAGAACATGCCCCTTTAGCTCGGAGGAGTTTGTTATTACCCACCTTATGAAGTCTTATGAAGTGTTATTACCCACTTCTGTCAATTCGTCAAACTCATTCTCTGTCCAGTTTTGTTCCTTTGTGGGCAAGGTGTTGTGATCCTTTGGAGGAGAAGAGGCATTCTGGTTTTTGGAATTTTCAGCCTTTTTGTGCTGGTTTTTCTTCTCTTCATGCATTTATCTACCTTTGGTCTTTGGTGTTGGTGATTTTCGGATGGGGTTTCTGTGTGGACGTCCATTTTGTTGATATTGATGCTATTCCTTTCCATTTGTTAGTTTTCCTTCTAACAGTCAGTTCCCTGTGCTGCAGGTCTGCTGGATTTTGCTGGAGGTCCACTCCAGACCCTGTTTGCCCGGGTATCACCAGCGGAGGCAGCAGAACAGCAAAGATTGCTGCCTGTTCCTTCCTCTGGAAGCTTTGTCCCAGAGGGGCACCCACGAGATGCCAGCTGGAGCTCTCTTGTATGAGGTGTCTGTCGACTCCTGCTGGGAGGTGTCTCCCAGTCAGAAGCCATGGGGATCAGGGACTTACTTCAGGAGCCAGTCAGTTTCTTAGCAGAGCTTGAGTGCTGCCCTAGGAGATCTGCTACTCTTTTCAGAGCTGGCAGGCAGAAACATTTAAGTCTGCTAAAGCTGTCCCCACAGCCACATCTTCCCCCAGGTACTCTGTCCCAGGGGAGATGGGAATTTTATCTAGAATCCCCTGACTGAGGCTGCTGCCTTTCTTTCAGAGATTCCCTGCCCAGGGAGGAGGAATCTAGAGAGGCAATGTGGCTACAGCAGCTTTGCTGAGCTGTGGTGGGCTCTGCTCAGTTTGAACTTCCCAGTGGGTTTGTTTACACTGTGAGGGGAAAACTGCCTACTCAAGCCTCAGTAATGGCAGATGCCCCTTTCGCTACCAAGGTTGAGCATCCCAAGTTGATTCAGATTGCTGTGCTGGCAGCAAGAATTTTAAGCCAGTGGATCTTAGCTTGCTGGGCTCCATGTGGGTGGGATCTGCTAAACTAGACCACTTGGCTCCCTGGCTTCAGCCCCCTTTCCATCAGAATGAACTGTTCTGTCTATCTGGAATTCCAGGCACCACCTGGGTATGAACAAAACAAAACAAAACAAAACAAAACTGCAGCTAACTCGGTGTCTGCCCAAATGGCCACCCAGTTTTGTGCTTCAAATCCAGGGCCCTGGTGGTGTAGGCACCCGAGGGAATCTCCTGGTCTGTGGGTGGTGAAGACTGTGGGAAAAGCATAGTATCTGAGCCAAAATTCACCCTTCCTCATGGCACAGTCCCTCATGGCTTCCCTTGGCTAGGGGAGGGAGTTCCTCGACCCCTTGCACTTCCCAGGTGAGGTGACGACCCACCCTCCTTCGGCTCACCCTCCATTGGCTGCATCCACTGTCTAACCAGTCCTAATGAGATGAGCCATGTACCTCAGTTGGAAATGCAGAAATCACCCACCTTCTGCTTTGATCTCACTGGGAGCTGTAGACCAGAGCTGTTCCTATTCGGCCATCTAGCCAGCCAACCCCAGTTTTTTTTTTTGTTTTTTTTTGTTTTTTTTTTTTTTGCAATTTTTTTCTGTGTCTTTGTCATGAGGTTTTTGCCAGGTATTATATCCAGAATGGTATTGCCTAGGTTGTTTTCCAGGGTTTCTATAGTTTTTGGTTTTAGAATTAAGTCTTTAATACATCTGAAGTGAATTTTTATATATAGTGTAAGGAAGGCACCCAGTTTCAATCTTCTTCATATGGCTAGCCAGTTATCCCAGCACCATTTATTGAATAGAGAGACTATTCCCCATTGTTTGTTTTTGTCAATTTTGTCAATGATCAGATTTTGGCAGGTGTGTCACATTATTTCTGGGCTCTATATCCTGTTTCATTGGTCTATGTGTTTTTGTACCAGTACTATGCTGTTTTGGTTACAGTAGCCTTGTAGTATAGTCTGAAGTTAGTAATGTGATAGCTCCAGCTTTGTTCTTTTTGCTTAGGAATGTATTGGCTATTTGGGTTCTTTTTCGATTTCATATAATTTTTTTTTTTAGCTTGGATACAGGAATTTTATTTTCTTTTAAGATGCACGTGGGTCACATTCAACACAAAAAATGAATAAGTTGCTTGTTTTTTCTTTTTGTGAGACAGTGTCTTGTTCTGTAGCCCAGGCTGTGTGCAGTGTTGCAGTCATAGCTCACTGCAGCCTCGACCTCCCAGGCTCAAGCGATTCTCCCACCTCAGCCTCACAAGTAGCTGGAACTACAGGCATGCGCCACTATGCCCAGCTAATTTTTAAATTTTTGGTAGAGAACAAAGTCTCACTATGGTGGCCAGGCTGGTCTCGAACTCCTGGGCTCAAGCAATCCTCCTGCCTCGGCCTCCCAAAATGTTGGGATTACAGGTGCAAGCCACCACACTGGGCCTACTTCTTTATGAAAGAAGCCCTTCCTAAACAACACAGAAAACTCCCCTAGAGGGGCCCTAATACGAACTGAACAGAAAAACCCCCAACTCAGGCTTGTTGATCAATCCTTTTCCACAGAAGTCGGACCAGGTTCTGTTATCATTATAAAATTATACTGTATTGAATATTTTTAAAAACAAGGAGGGAAAGAGAACAGGTTCTTGCAAAGAAAGGTACAGCCTCGACTTCTTTCAAGCACCCATGATCTCCCGTGTACATGCTGCCCACACCCAGCCAGCCATCATGGGACTCAGACAGGGTCAGATGGGATGCTGATGGGAAGGAAAGGCAGGGCCCTATTCTGTGGGGCCCTGCAGCAGCTGAGCCATGGTTTGGATGATGTGTTGCCAAGATTTTTTACTTGCACAGCTGAGAAGCAGGTCACTTAGTTTCTCAAGGACTAGCCAGCCTCAGTGCAGAGCTGAAGGTAAAGTGACCCTTACAACCCTGTAGCCTCGCCATGTAACATCCAGGTGACCTTTCTCTGCCAAAGTGCTGACTGTGCTCGCAGTCCTTGTGTGTCCAGAGTTGGTTCCTGCCAGTGGGTTCACAGTCTTGCTGACTTCAAGAATGAAGCCGTGGACCTTCACGGTGAGTGTTACAGCTCTTAAAGATGGCAAGGACCCAAAGAGTGAGTGGTAGCAAGGTTTATTGTGAAGAGTGAAAGGTGGCTACCTTTAGGATCCTGCTGATTGGTGCATTTTACAGAGTGCTTATTGGTGCGTTTTACAGAGTGCTGATTGGTGTGTTTTACAGAGTGCTGATTGATGTGTTTTACAGAGAGCTGATTAGTGTGTTTTACAGAGCACTGATTGGTGCATTTTACAATCCTCTTGTAAGACAGGAAAGTTCCCCAAGTCCCCACTTGACCCAGGAAGTTCAGCTGGCCTCACCTCTCAATAGCCCTCTAAACAGGACACCACAGCTGCTCTTGGGAACTGGGCAATGACCATTCTAGCTACTAACTGCTGGATAGGGGTGAAGAAGGGGCCCTGCAGTTTTAGTGTCCTCCAGAGGGGAACTCTCTAGGCCAGTCAAAGGGCCAGTGGGTCAATCCAGTTGTCCTCGTTAGAAGTTGTGAGTTGAGCTCATTTGGGGTTCCATTTGTAAGACCACCTGTAGCTTGATGACTTCAATCCTAGAGGAAACAAATTTGGCAAGGATGTTAAAAATACAGGGCCTGATCAGAGAAATGCAAATCAAAACCACTATGAGATATCATCTCACACCGGTTAGAATGGCAATCATTAAAAAGTCAGGAAACAACAGGTGCTGGAGAGGATGTGGAGAAATAGGAACACTTTTACACTGTTGGTGGGACTGTAAACTAGTTCAACCATTGTGGAAGTCAGTGTGGCGATTCCTCAGGGATCTAGAACTAGAAATACCATTTGACCCAGCCATCCCATTACTGGGTATATACCCAAAGGACTATAAATCATGCTGCTATAAAGACACATGCACACGTATGTTTATTGCGGCACTATTCACAATAGCAAAGACTTGGAACCAACCCAAATGTCCAACAATGATAGACTGGATTAAGAAAATGTGGCACATATACACCATGGAATACTATGCAGCCATAAAAAATGATGAGTTCATGTCCTTTGTAGGGACATGGATGAAATTGGAAACCATCATTCTCAGTAAACTATCGCAAGAACAAAAAACCAAACACCGCATATTCTCACTCATAGGTGGGAATTGAACAATGAGATCACATGGACACAGGAAGGGGAATATCACACTCTGGGGACTGTGGTGGGGTCGGGGGAGGGGGGAGGGATAGCATTGGGAGATATACCTAATGCTAGATGACACGTTAGTGGGTGCAGCGCACCAGCATGGCACATGTATACATATGTAACTAACCTGCACAATGTGCACATGTACCCTAAAACTTAGAGTATAATAAAAAAAAAAAATTAAAAAAAAAAAATAAAAAAATAAAAATACAGGGCCTGAAGGCAAGTAATAGCAAGATGGCTCTCACAGGACCTAGAAAGGGGAGAAGCCATGTTGCCCAACTCCAGAGGTTGGTATAAAAGTTTGAAAGGTGTTGTCTGATTTCAGAAGACTTTTCCTGCAAATGCCAGGTGGCGTCTCATACTATCCCTGAATTGTTAGTGTAAAAACAACACTTTTCCCCTAAGAAGGTGCAAAGTCCTCCTTTCTCAGCAGTGAGGAGGTCTAGGCCTCGGCAGTTTTGGAGAGTCACTGTTGCCAAAGGGTCTATTTGGGACTGTAGAGTGAGGATAGATTTCATTATTTCTTGCACACTGTCAGAGAAATCCTTTGAGAGTGCGTGGTAATAGGATAGTGAAGTAGATAAACTGGCTATTCTGGTTCCTGTAGCAGGGGCCATTCCTAACCCTATAAGTAGGGGTATTAGTTTTATGGCCCTGCACTGATGGTCTTGAGCCTTGAGGGGCACTGATAGGGTCTGATTTCCTGGGGCGATGTCAATGGTGGGACTTAGGAAGACTAAGGTGCAGGTGCCTGTCCGTTTGGTGGGGAGGCAGATAGATATAGGTTGAAGTTCCATATAAGAAGAATATGCCTTGGCTGGGTAGACAGAACTGGTTGTGTATGTTAAAAAGGTGTGTGAATTTGTTGTTTTCATTTTCCCATACTCTTAGAGTACTCGCGAAGGTAGCTTTGGTGAGCGGCTGGAAATGGGTGTTGGGAGGAAACTGAGTGGCTCCCTGTGTTCCATTTTCCCACTGGAGATAAAATCATTTTGTATCTACTAGGAACCATTCAAGAGAGTAATTGAAAGAGGGGATGAGAAGGCATTTGCTAGTGTTGGGGACACTGCTGCAGGGGGTCCAGAGGAGAATGGTCATGCAGGGAATGTGTTTGCCATTACAAAACCCAGACTGTTTGTTAAGCAGGGAGAAGGTGATGATTTTTGGGGATCCTGAGAAGCAGAAAAGCCATCTGAATGGAGCTGTTTGGGTGACTCGGAAGTTACTATGATCAGTTGGGGCTTGAAGTTGTAGGGTGTAATTACACTGATGGGATAATAGGTGCCCCAGGGGCAGGCCTGATAACAGGTTGAGTTGGATGCATAAAGGGGCTTGGAAAATTAGATGGTATTCCTGGTTACAGGGCTGTGTATGTGCTTTTCACTGCTCCTGTGAGGAGCAATAGGTGAGGTTGGAAATGTAAGAGTGTAAACGCTGGATTGTGTGCCCTGCTTTGTTCCTATCAGAGATGGGGAAGTCAGCTAATGATTGCATATTTAGAAGTTGGAAAGGGTCTCTTCCTTCATAATGGGAGTGGTAGGTTAAGTTAATAAAGACCCAGTTTTTTGTGGGAACGAGAGTGGCAACATAAGCAGTGGCTGATAGAGAGATACAAAGCCGACAGTCATTTGCCAGGGAAGGATTGGACTGGTTTAACAGAGAGTGGGTTAAGTTGAGAGTCTTGTAGAGGTAATTAGGAGCCAGTGGAAGGGGAGGGGTGACTATGTGGGGTATCCAAGGAAGCAGGAGGGTTATATAGACAAAGTGTAAGTAGAAAGGTAAAGAGGGTTCCCTGGAAGATGAGGTCTTTTTATCCAGTCTGAGTTAAAGGTAGGATTAAATTGCCATCAGAACGAAGGATGATAGAAAAAAGGTTGATGTGATTAGGATTTTCATCCCGGCAGAAGCTACAGTATATAATCCTACTGCAAAGAGTATGTTTAGTATACTGCCTAATAATGTGATGAAACAGTAAAAGGATTCCATTAAAGGGGCAAGGAGAGGTGTTAAAGATTATGTAGGTTTTCACTTAACTTTTTTAAGTAGGAAGGGGTTTTTCCTCAGGATCAGCTGAAGGAGCCTTTTTAGTTTGGGATGTTTCCTTCTGAAATAGGAGACGCAAGTCCTCCAATGGTTCACAGGTGTATTGAGGCTGGTCTGGCTGATCTTGGGACTCCTGATCTGATGGTCCTGCAGGTTCCTCAGGGGGTGTCCAAAGTTTAACTCGGGTGTGGTGAATCCAAGATTCCCCTCCTGCTACCTTAACTGCAGTGGGAGTAGAGAGGATTACTGAGTATGGTCCTTCCCACAAGGAATTCATAGATGGGAAGGTAGAGGGAAGGGACTTGACCAACACTAGATCTCCCAGTTGGAACAACTCTGTTCCCTTTTCTCTGTGATGTCCTTCAGGTAGGTTTTTAATGTTTTGTTGGTATTTTTCCAAAGAAGTTATGTCTTTGACCAAGTTGGCCATTTCCTGATCAAGTAAGAGGTCATTTGTGAGAAAAGGTCATCCATACAGCATTTCATATGGACTGAGCCCCATTTTGTGAGGGGAATTTTAGATTCTCAACAAGGCCATGGGCAAGAAAGTAGGCCATGGGAGATGAGTTTCTTGTGTTAGTTTCCTTAAGTGCCTCTTGAGTGTTTCATTTGCTTTCTCAACCTTCCCTGAGGTTTGTGGCCTCCACGTGCACTGAAGGTGATATTGTATCCCTAGTGCCCTGGAAATTCCCTGAGTTATCATGGCTTTAAAAGCCGGACCATTGTCACTTTGTAAGTTTTGGGGAAGCCCAAATCTAGGAATTATTTCATGAATTAGGACTAACCACTTCCTGAGCTTTCTCTCTCTTGCAAGGGAAGGCTTCCATCCAATTTGTAAAGGTATCAACACATACCAAGTATTGAAATCCCCTTGATTTAGGCATATGGATGAAGTCTAACTGCCAATCCTCTCCAGGATAGTGACCTGTTCTTTGTTTCCCCGAGGGGAGCCTTATGATGGACCAATGGATTATTCCTTTGGCACACCTCATAGGCTTTGACTACTTGCCGGATGGTCTGGGGAGAATTGACTGTGTAAATAGGGATTTGGCCATTTGATGAATGTTCTCAATACCCATATAAAAGGTTTAGCAGAGGGTCTTAAGTATTTCCCACTGGCTGGCTTCGGGTATGAGTACTTTTCCCTCTTCTGTCATTAACCACCCCGAGGGGAGAAAACTATGCCCCCATGAAAGTCCCCATTCTGTTTTGGACGGGAATACTGGGGCTTAATTTCTTGGAGAGGGTTGTTCCATACCGAGGGTCCTTCCATAGGTATTTCTAATGGGAGGTTCCACCTGGCAGCAATTTTGGTCTCAGCTTCTGCCCGACAGTTTCTTTCTGCCTTTTCTCCTTCATCTTTTTGATGGCTTTAGCAGTGTAAGACTGCCACCTCCTTGGGTTTTTGCACTGCATGCAATAACTCCATGATTTCCTTGTGGTATTTAATGGGGGTTCCCCTAGAGGTTAGGAACTCCCTTTCTTTCCATATTGCAGCATAAGCATGTAGAATTAGATAAGCATACTTGCTAACTGTATATACATTTTTTGCCATTAAACAAATTAGATTATTTATTAGATGAAATGGACAAATACTGTATATACATTTATTCTTTTTTCCTTTCCCAGTTCTAAGGCTCAGGTAAGCACCACTAGTTCTGCTAACTGGGTGCTGGTCCCTAGGGGAAGAGGCTTAGTTTCAAGTACTGTTACATCACTAACTATGGCATAACTTGCCCTTCATATCCCATTCTCCATAAATGAACTTCCTTCGATATATAGGGCAAGGTCAGGATTAGCTAAGGGGACCTCTAAGAGATCCTCTTGAACAGCAAAAGTCTGGGCTACAATTTGTTGGCAGTCATGCTTGATTGGTTCCCCATCCTCTGGGAGAAAAGTGGCAGGGTTGAGGGCCACACACATGCATATTTGAAGCACCAGTTCCTCAGGGAGTAGTGCCTGGTATCTAAGCAGACAGTTGTCTGATAGCCATAGACTTCCTTTGGCACCTAGTATGCCATTTACATCACGAGCTGTCCAGACAATGAGATCCTTTCCTTGTATTATTTTGATAGCCTCTGATACTAACATGACCACTGCCACAACTACCATAAACAATGAGGCCAGCCTTTTGCTACTACATCAATTTCCTTACTTAAGTATGCCACTGGTTGTGGGGTTGTCCCTTGAGTCTGAGTAAGGACTCCAAGAGCTATTCCCACTCTCTTTGTGATGTATAAAGAGAAGTTTTGTCCTGTGGGAAGGCTTAAGGCTGGAGCTGGTACTAGGGCCTGCTTTAAGGTTTTGAAAGCTGTTTCTGCCTCTGGTTCCCATTATACTAGATGAGTATTTGCCCTCTGGGTCTCCTTGATTGAGTATAGAGTGGCCTGGCCATCTCGCTGTATCTGGGGATCCATAGTTGGCAAAAACTGGTGATCCCAAGGAACCCCCGTGACTGTTTTAATGTCTTAGGGTGAGGACAAGTCAGTATAGGCTGTATTCATTCTTTGCTGAGGGCCCTGGTTCTCTGGCTAAGACTAGACCTAGATATTTGACTTGTTGTAGGCAGAGCTGGGCCTTTGATTTACACACCTTGTACCTTTGATTAGCTTCAAAGTTCAAGAGATCTAGAGTAGCCTGCTGGCATGAGGCTTCCAAACTGGTAGCCAAAAGTAAATCATCCACATACTGAAGGACCAGAGTGCCTGGGCTTGAGAAGTGGCCTAGATTTTGGGCCAGTGCCTGACCAAAGAGATGAGGGCTATCCCTAAAATCTTGAGGCAAGACTGTCCATGTAAGTTGGGACGTGTGGTCTGTGGGATCCTCAAAGGCAAAGAGAAACTGGGAGTCAGAGTGCAGGAGAATACAGAAGGCATCCTTGAGGATCAGAACAGTGAACCATTCTGCTGACTCTGGTATTTGAGAGAGCAGTGTATAGGGGTTGGCTACAGGTGGATATAGAGGAATTACTGCCTCATTGATGAGTCTAAGATCTTGCACTAGTCTCCACCGACCATTTTGTTTTTGTATTCCTAGAATTGGGGTGTTGCAGGGACTGCTGAATTTTCTTACTAAGACTTGAGCTTTTAAATGTCTAACAGTATCCTTTAATCCTTTACGAGCTTCAGGCCTTAAGGGATATTGCCTTTGATAAGGAAAAGTGATGGGGTCTTTTAGCTAGATTTGAACTGGGTGGGCATTTTTTGCCCTTCTGAATTGTCCTTCCAATGCCCAGACTTCAGGGTTGATTCCCTCCTCAAGTAGGGGACAACAAATGGGTAACTTGTCCCCCATATTCATGTAGATAATAGCAATGGCTAATATGTTCCTCCCTAATAAGGGTGTGGCACTTCCAGGCATAACAAGAAAGGCACGTGAAAAGGGCAAATTCTCCCAATTACAACTGAGAAGGTGGGAGAACTACCTGTTTACAGGCTGTCCCAGGATTCCTTGGATGGTAATGGACCTTGAAGAAAGCCGTCCAGGGCAGGAGATTAACACTGAGAAGGCCACGCTAGTGTCCAGGAGGAAGTGAATTTCCTGGCCTTCAGTGGTTAAACTTACCTGGGTCTCACTGAGGGTGATGACATGAGCTGGCACTTGCCCCAGGCACCCTCAGTCCTGTTGTTGGATCATCTGATTGGGGGCTTCTGGCCCAGAGAGCCTTTGTCCTCTGGGGCAGTGCACCTTCCAATGATTGCCTTGGCATAGTGGACATGGGCAAGGGGGTGGCTTGTTTCTCACTGGACAATCTTTTTTAAAGTGTCCTTGCAACCCACGCTGATAACAAGCCCTGCCAGGTGATTGGCCTGCTCCATTTCCTGTCCTCTCTGAACTACCAAGGTTTGTTTGTCTGAGGGCCATGACTAAGGCTGTGGCCTTTCTCTTATCTCACTTTTCCTTTTTGGCCTGCTCCTCTTGGTCCCTTTTATAGAACACTGAGATTTCTAGGTTTAATAATGCCTCTAAATTTTGTTCAGGACCCAGGGCTAGCTTTAGGAGCTTTCTCCTGATATCTGCAGCTGATTGGGTAATAAAGTTATCCTTTAGGATCAACTGACCCTTGAGGGAATCAAGTGACAGGAGGGTATATTGTCTTAAGGCCTCCTGTAGCCACTCAAGGAAGGTGGTAGGATTTTCTTCCTTTCCCTGAGTTATGGTGGACATCATTGAATAATTCATGGGCTTTTTCCTAAGTCTTCTTCATTGACACAGGTCAACAGATATTTGCAACCCTAGTCCCCATGACCTGAGTGGAGGTCCCAGTGGGGATCCATACTGGCTATGGCTTGCTGATCAGTAGAGAATTTGTCCCTTTCTTCAGCTGTCATTCTATCATTAACCTGACTAAGATACCATGTATCTCCAAACTCTTGGGCTGCAGCTAAAGCCACATTCTTTTCATTAAAAGCCAGGGTTTGTTCTAACAATAGCATGACAGCTCTCCAAGTGAGGTTGAAGGTTTGCCCTAGACCCCGTAGGACATATGTGTACCTATCAGGGTATCTGAAAACTTCCCCAGGTCTACCTTGATTTGCTTTAAATCAGAGAGGGAGGAGGGGTCATGTACCTGGGTTGGGCCAAATTCCCCTCCCCTTTCAGCTTGAAGGGGACATAACCAATAGCCTGGGGGTTTTATGGTCC
This sequence comes from Homo sapiens, assembly GCF_000001405.40. Lineage (NCBI taxonomy): Eukaryota > Metazoa > Chordata > Mammalia > Primates > Hominidae > Homo > Homo sapiens. The sequence goes on along the minus strand of NT_187628.1, from coordinate 155,240 downwards.
CATGGATATTTCTTTGCTTGTTTCCATCTCAGTGGGGGAGATTAGAGGAGGCTCACCACTAATAGGAAGGGGAGCTGTAGGAAGGCTAGAATATGGGGATAAGCTGAGAGGTCTTCCTGTGGGATATAGATTGTAAGCTTTGCATAGTTGTGGATTATCCTTCAATAAAAAGAAAGCTTGGACATAAGGTATTTCACAACATTTGCCTTCCCTCTTACAGAAAAGGTCAAGATGCAGGATAGTATTATAATTTATACTTCCCTCAGGTGGCCATTTTTCCCCATCAGGGAGAGAATATTGGAGCCAGGCTATAGTGCAGAAAAAAATAAGCTGCTTCTTTTTCAGGGTTTGTGGGTCAAATTGGTCCCAATGGCTTAGGATGCATTTCAAGGGTGAGCTCGTTGATGCCTGAGTGTTTCCCATCTAAAACAGAACAAAAAACCGCCTGCAGTTTTGATCTGTTTTTTCCCACCCCAGAACCTGCAATGGTCCCTGGACCCTACTATTCAGAATAGTTGTGCTCACCAAAGCAGCAGTGGAAACACTTATTTTCCTCCTAGACAACAAAGAGGGCCAAGAAAGGTCAGATTTAGTGGCCCTTACTGATGCATTCTTGAAAACCTGTTAGAGTCCTAAGCATTTTCTCCTGTTGGTATTGGGAACTTAACCTTGTCCTATAAAGATGATATGCCTCAAAATGGAGTGGAGGGCCATACCTTGAGGGAGGAAAGGGATCTCCAGGATTGGAAAAGTGATGCCTTTTGTCCTCACTTCTCATCATATGAATAGGAAGGATATTCCCCCAATTTTGCAGTCTATAATTTCTGAGACTCCCCATATCCTAGCTTCAAGAATAGCCTTTGTTAGGCCTGCTAGCCTGAGGAGGGATCCTAAAATTCCAGATAGTTCCACCTGCAACAGGGCTCTGGGCAAAAATTATGTGCCCCAGGGCACCTATTTCCTGTTGAAGAATTCGGCTCTTTCTGATTTGTAAGCCTGGGTGCCTGAAGAAGGGAACAGAGTCCCAAAATCTATATTAGAAATCATCCTTATAGGAGAAACTAGAAAAGCACCAGGGATAGGGAGTGATTTTTAGAAGCAGGACTAGCCTTGGAGAAGAGAGGTGAGAGAAAGTTTGTCTGACAGGCATTAGGACCCAGGAGACAAGTGTCAGGATAGACAGGACAGATGGGTGAGTCTCGCTTGGGCAACATAAGTTTGAGAGCTCTGCTCATAGCTGCAGGGTCAACCAAGTTTTTGTTGGGACCCTGGAGCTGATTAGTTTTCCTCTCTGTTGACCCTCAGCTCAGCCCAGAAGTGCAGGGAAAGCAGAAGCTGGTTCCAGGCAAATGAACACTCCTGACTCCGAAGAGTTGGGGGTTGTTAGAGAGCCCTTTCCCAAAAAGTCTGACACCTGTGTCTGTAGTCCAGCAGCTGTGCCATTTGCTTTTGACTGGCTGACAGGTGCCTGGTGTTTAGCCCCCAAATTCTAAGGAAAAATAGGACAGAATAGCAAGTGAAAGGGGTCCAATGGTACTCACCACGTGGTGATATCCTGGATGAGCCCCCAAGATGTGTCTGGGGTTCGTTCCTGCAAGTGGGTTTGTGGTCTTGCTGATTTCAAGAATGAAGCTGCAGACCTTCATGGTGAGTGTTACAGCTCTTAAAGATGGCAAGGACCCAAAGAGTGAACAGTAGCAAGATTTATTGTGAAGAGCAAAAGAACGGTTTCCACAGTGTGGAAGGGGACACAAGTGGGTTGCTGCTGCTGGCTGGGGTGGCCAGTTTTTGTTCCCTTATTGTCCCCTTCCATGTTCTGTTTCTATCCTGTCAGAGTGCCCTTTTTTCAATCCTCCCTTTGACTGGCTGCTTTTAGAATCCTGCTGATTGGTATGTTTTACAGAGCACTGATTGGTGAGTTTACAAATCCTCTTGTAAGACAGGAAAGTTCCCCAAAGTCCCCGCTGGACCCAGGAAGTCCAGCCGGCCTCATCTCTCACTTGGAAAGCACTTACATTTTTAACAGAAAGGACCTATAATTAGGGCAGTATCTGATGCTCTGATCTGGGAGAAGGAGAAAAGGAAAACAGCCCTAGGATTCTTGCCCACAGTTCAGCACATAATGCCATGAGATTCTCAAAACCTGACATTCCCCAGGGAAGGGCTGACCCTCTTCAGTGAGGCTTACTTGAAAGATGCTTGAACTGCTGGGTAAGGTCTTGGTTTTTCCTCACTCTCAGAGAGACTCCAGGTGGACTCCCAGACCCCCAGACCAGCCCTCCACCCCTGACTTCAATCTCAGAACAGCTGAACTCTGGAAAGTCAAGATCACCTGATGACATGGAAGGCTCAGAGCAGATGGTTGGTGCAGGGCCTGCACGGTGCTAGTGATCCTGAGGTACAGGTATAGTATGATGGCCACAGTCCAGAAGAATGAGCTGGTGTTGGTGAGGGTGGACAGCACACCTTGCAGCATGCAGTTCCATGACAGCCTGCGAAGTCCTGCAGCATCCCATAGAAGTAGGAGGCAGCTGAGAGCAGGTTGGCCAGTGACAGGAAGAGCAGCAGGCACTGTGCCTGGCTTCACAGGTCGGGCCACAGGGTGCACATGGCCACCAGCAGGCCTGAGCTGAGCACAAAGAATGCACAGGACAGCAGCACCACAATGCACTCTGAAGGCACCAACTCGGTGGGCAGCACAGGCGGTGACATGGTGTGGGGGCTGGGAGCTGGAGGAACGTGAGGACAGAAGCTGGGCCGCATGTGTGGCCACCACTGCCACCATCTGGGCAGCAAGGCACCCAAGGCAGGTGTCCAGGTGCCCACCCTGCCTGCATCTGGCCACTTCTGGCCCATCTGGGCCCTGGGCCCTCAATTTCATATAAATTTTAAAATAGTTTTTTCTAGTTCTGTAAAGAATGTCATTTGTAGTTTAACATGAATAGCATTCAATCTGTAAATTGGTTTGGGCAGTATGGCCATTTCAACAATATTGATTTGTCCTATTCATGAACGTGGAATGTTTTTCCATTTCTTTTTGGCATTCTGACTTCTTTGAGCAGTGTTTTGTAATTCTCATTGTATAGGTTTTTCAGCTTCCTAGTTAGCTGTATTCTTAGGTATTTCATTCTTTTTGTGGCTATTGTGAATGGGATTGTGTTCTTGATTTGTCTCTCAGCTTGGATGCTGTTGGTGTATAGGAATGCTAGTAATTTTTGTACATTGATTTTGTATCCTGAAACTATACTGAAGTTGTGTATCAAATCAAGGAGCTTTTGGGCAGAGACTATTAGGTTTTCTAGGTATAGAATCATGTCATCTGCAAACAGAGATATTTTGACTTCCTCTCTTCCCATTTGGATGCCTTTTATTTCTTTCTCTTACCTGATTGCTCTGGTTAGGACTTCCAACACTATGTTTAATAGAAGTGGTGAGAGAGGGCATCCTTGTCTTGTTCTAGTTTTCAAGGAAAATGCTTACAGCTTTTGTTGATACAGTATGATGTTGGATGTGAGTTTTTCATAGATGCCTCTTTATTTTGAATTATGTTCCTTTAATGCCTAGTTTGTTTAGGGTTTGCAACATAAAGAGATGTTAAATTTTATTGAAAGCCTTTTCTACATTTGTTGTGTTAATTATGTGGTTTTTGTTTTTAGTACAGTTTATGTGGTGAATCACATTTCTTGATTTGCATATGTTGAATCAAACTTGCATCCCAGGGATAAAGCATACTTAATCATGGTGGATTAGATTTTTGATGTGCTGCTAGATTCACCTTGCAAATAATTTGTTGAGAATTTTTACACTGATGTTCATTAAGTATATTGACCTGAAGTTGACTTTTTTCATTGTGTCTCTGCCAGGTTTTGTTATCAGGATGATGCTCGCCTCATAGAATGAGTTAAGGAGGAGGTTCTCCTCCTCAATCTTTTGGAATCATTTTGGTAGAAATGGTACCAGCTCTTCCTTATCCATTTGGTAGATTTTGTCTATGGATTCATCTGTTCTTGATTGGTGGGCTTTTTATTACTGATTCAATTTCACAATTCATTGTTTGTCTGTTTAAGGATTCAATCTCTTCCTGGTTCAATCTTGGGAGGTTGTATGTTTACAGTAATCTATCCATTTCTTTTAGGCTTTCTAGCTTCTGTGTATAGAAGTGTCCATAATAGTCTCTGAGGGCATTTGTATTTATGTGGGGTAATGGTAACATTCCATTTATCATTTCTGATGGGTTTATTTGGATATTCTCTCTTTTTTTCTTTATTAGACTAGCTAGTGGTCTATCTATCTTATTTTTTTTCAAAGAACCAGTTCCTGGATTCTTTGTCTTTTGTGTGTGTGTGTGTGTTTGTGTGTGTGTGTGTGTGGTGTGTGTGTGTGTTTTACATCAATTTCCTTTAGCTCAGCTCTAATTTTCTAATTTCTTTTCTTCTGCTAGCTTCGGGGTGGATTTGCTCTTGCTTCCCTAGTTCTGATGTGTTGTGATATTAGGTTGGTAATTTGAGATCTTTCCAACTTTTTGATGTGGACATTTAGTGCTATAAAATTTCCTCTTAACACTGCATTGGCTGTATCCCACAGATTCTGGTATGTTGTATCTTTTTCCTCATTAGTTTCAAATAATTTCTTTATTTCTGCCTTAATTTTATTACTTACCCAGAAGTCATTTGGGATGAAGTCATTTAATTTCCATGCACTTCTATGGTTTTGAGTGACTTTCTTCTCATTTATTTCTATTTTTATTGTGCTGTGGTCTGAGTATGTGGTTGGTATAATTTCTGTTTTTTAAAATTTGGTGAAGATTTTTTATGGCTGATTGTGTTATTGATTTTAAAGTATGTGCCATGTGCAGATGAGAAGAATGTATATTCTGTTGTTTTTGGATGGAGAGTTCTGTAGATGTCTATAGGTCCCTTTGTTCAAGTGTTGAATTAAGGTCCCAAATACCTTTCTTAGTTTTCTGCTTTGATGATTTAAAACTGTCACTGGGGTCTTAAGTGTTTCCCACTATTATTATGTGGTTATTTAAATGTCTTCATTGGTTTTTAACAACTTGCTTTATAAATCCAGGTGCTCCTGTGTTAGGTGCATATATATTTAGGATAGTTAAGTTTTCTTGTTGAATTAAGTCCTTTACTATTATGTAATGCTCTTCCTTGTCTTTATTGATCTTTTTTAGTTTAAAATCTGTTTTGTCCAAAATTCAAATAGCAACCCCCTTTTTTTTTCTGGTTTCCATTTGCTTGGTAGATTTTTCTCCATCCCTTTGTTTTGGGCCTATGGGTTTCATTGCACATGAGTCCCTTGAAGACAGTTTTGCTTCTTTATCCAACTTGTCACTCTGTCTTTTGAGGGCATTTATCTTGTTTACATTCAAGGTTAGTACTTACATGTATGGATTTCATCCTGTCATCACGTTATTAGCTGTTTATTATTCAGACTTGGTTATGTGGTAGCTTTATAGCATTACAGGTCCATGTACTTAAGTATGTTTTTGTACTGGCTGGCAGCAGTCTTTCCTGCCTATATTTAGCACTCCCTTCAGGATCTTTTGTAACGCATTTGGTGTTAATGAATTCCCTTAGCACTTGCTTGTCTGAAAAGGCTCTTATTTGCTTATGAAGTTTACTTTGGCTAGATATAAAATTCTTGGCTGAAAATTCTTTTCTTTAAGAATACTGAATAGATGACACGTCGGGCAGCTGGGAGAAGGAGGCAGCAACATGCACAATTATGTATGAAGCATGCATCGCAGCTTTATGAAAATAAGGGTGAAGAGCCTGGCTCTAAGAGCCGGGGCTATACAAGAAACTTTTCCGGCTCTCCCTCTCCCTCTCCCTCTGTCTCCCTCTCCCCACGGTCTCCCTCTCATGCGGAGCCGAAGCTGGACTGTACTGCTGCCATCTCGGCTCACTGCAACCTCCCTGCCTGATTCTCCTGCCTCAGCCTGCCGAGTGCCTGCCATTGCAGGCACGCGCTGCCACGCCTGACTGGTTTTGGTGGAGACGGGGTTTCGCTGTGTTGGCCGGGCCGGTCTCCAGCCCCTAACCGCGAGTGATCCCGCCAACCTCAGCCTCCCGAGGTGCCGGGATTGCAGACGGGGTCTCGTTCACTCAGTGCTCAATGGTGCCCAGGCTGGAGTGCAGTGGCGTGATCTCGGCTCACTACAACCTACACCTCCCAGCCGCCTGCCTTGGCCTCCCAAAGTGCCGAGATTGCAGCCTCTGCCCGGCCGCCACCCCGTCTGGGAAGTGAGGAGCGTCTCTGCCTGGCCGCCCATCGTCTGGGATGTGAGGAGCCCCTCTGCCTGGCTGCCCAGTCTGGAAAGTGAGGAGCGTCTCCGCCCGGCCGCCATCCCATCTAGGAAGTGAGGAGCGCCTCTTCCCAGCCGCCATCACATCTAGGAAGTGAGGAGCGTCTCTGCCCGGCCGCCCATCGTCTGAGATGTGGGGAGCGCCTCTGCCCCGCCGCCCCATCTGGGATGTGAGGAGTGCCTCTGCCCGGCCGAGACCCCGTCTGGGAGGTGAGGAGCGTCTCTGCCCGGCCGCCCCGTCTGAGAAGTGAGGAGACCCTCTGCCTGGCAACCACCCCGTCTGAGAAGTGAGGAGCCCCTCCGCCCGGCAGCTGCCCCGTCTGAGAAGTGAGGAGCCTCTCCGCCCGGCAGCCACCCCATCTGGGAAGTGAGGAGCATCTCCGCCCGGCAGCCACCCCGTCCGGGAGGGAGGTGGGGGTGTCAGCCCCCCGCCCGGCCAGCCGCCCCGTCCGGGAGGGAGGTGGGGGGGGACAGCCCCCCCGCCCGGCCAGCCGCCCCGTCCGGGAGGTGAGGGGCGCCTCTGCCCGGCCGCCCCTACTGGGAAGTGAGGAGCCCCTCTGCCCGGCCACCACCCCGTCTGGGAGGTGTGCCCAACAGCTCATTGAGAACGGGCCAGGATGACAATGGCGGCTTTGTGGAATAGAAAGGCGGGAAAGGTGGGGAAAAGATTGAGAAATCGGATGGTTGCCGTGTCTGTGTAGAAAGAAGTAGACATGGGAGACTTTTCATTTTGTTCTGCACTAAGAAAAATTCCTCTGCCTTGGGATCCTGTTGATCTGTGACCTTACCCCCAACCCTGTGCTCTCTGAAACATGTGCTGTGTCCACTCAGGGTTAAATGGATTAAGGGCGGTGCAAGATGTGCTTTGTTAAACAGATGCTTGAAGGCAGCATGCTCGTGAAGAGTCATCACCAATCCCTAATCTCAAGTAATCAGGGACACAAACACTGCGGAGGGCCGCAGGGTCCTCTGCCTAGGAAAACCAGAGACCTTTGTTCACTTGTTTATCTGCTGACCTTCCCTCCACTATTGTCCCATGACCCTGCCAAATCCCCCTCTGTGAGAAACACCCAAGAATTATCAATAAAAAAATAAATTAAAAAAAAAAAAAAAAAGAATACTGAATATAGAACCCCCATCTCTTCTGGCTTGTAGGGTTTCTGCTAACGGGTCTGCTGTTAGCCTGGTAGGGTTCTATTTGTAGATGTATTAGTCCATTTTCATACTGTTATGAAGAAATGCCCAAGACTGGATAATTTATTAAAAAAATGGTTTAATGGACTCACAGTTCCACATGGCTGGGGAGACCTCACAATTATGGCAGAAGGTGAAGGAGGAGAAAAGACACATCTTACATGGCAGCAGGCAAGACAGCATGTGCCAGGGAACTGCCATTTATAAAACCATCAGATCTCGTGAGACTTATTCACTGTCTTGAGGACAGCATGGGAAAACCTGCCTTCGTGATTCAATTATCTCCCACCAGGTCCCTCCCACAACATATAGGGATTATAGGAGTACAATTCAAGATGAGATTTGGGTGGGAACACAGCCAAACCATATCAGTAGGCAGCCTGCACTTTCTCTCTAGCTTTCTTGTCAGGTTTTCTTTCATTTTGACCTTGGAGAATCTGATGACTATATGTCTTGGGGATGGTCTTCTTGTTTAGTATTTCACAGGGATTCTCTAAATTTTCTGAATTTGAATATTGGCTTCTCTAGTGTGGTTGGGGAAATTTTTATGGACAATATCCTGAAAAATGTTTTCCAAGCTGGTTAATTTCTCTTCCTTTCTTTCACAAACGCCAGTGAATCGTAGAATGTGTTTCTTTTCATAATGGCATATTTCTCAGAGCTTTTGTTCATTCTTTATTTTTTTTAAAATTTTTCTCTGACTGAGTTGTTTTAGAGAGAGTCTTCAAGCCCTGATATTCTTTCCTCAGTTTGGTCAATTCTGCTGTTAATACTTGTGATTGCATTATGAAATTCTTGTAGTGTGTTTTTCAGCTCTGTCAGATCAGTGTGGTTCTCTCTTTTAATGACCATTTTATCTATCACCTCCTATATTGTTTTATTGTAATCCTTAGATTCCTTGGATTGGGTTTTCACTTTCTCCTGTATGTCAATGATCTTTGTTTCTGTCCATATTCTGAATTCTATTTCTATCATTTCAGCCATCTCAGCCTGATTAAGAACCATTGTTAGGAAACTAGTGTTATCATTTGGAGGTAAGAAGACACTCTGGATTTTTGAGTTGCCAGAGTTCTTGTGCTGGTTCTTCCTCATCTTTGTGGGCTGATGTTCTTTGAAGCTTTGATGTAGCTATCCTTTGGATGGTTTTCTTCTCATTTTATTTTATTAGATGTCCTTGGGGGTTTGATTGTAGTGTGAGGTGGATTCAGTAAACTGGCTTCATTTCTGGAAGATTTTTGGGGGCCAAGACTCTGCTCAAGACTTCTGGACCATGTCCTCTAACTCTGGAGGACTGGTATTGGGTCCCTGGCTTTGTCCTCTGGCCCCTCAGGGTTAGGAACCTGCTGCACTGGAGGGGCAAGGTATTCCTGGACTGCTGGTCACAACACTCTGGTGGGTGTTGCCAGACAAAGAACAGTTTGTAGAGTGGTGACAGCAAAATCCATCCTCATTCACACATACCAGCATCAATGGCAGTACAGCAAAGCATGCGCTCACTGGCTGTGGTGGGGTGTTGGCAATTGCAAGGGTGCTGGCCTCTTTGCTAGCATTTGCAGTAAGGGGGTGTTAGGATGCAGGCAGTGCACAAAAGTGCAGTGGCACAATTATGGCTCACTGCAGCCTCCAACTCCTGAGTGCAAGCATTTTTCTAAACTCAGCTTCCTGAGTAGCTGGGGCTACAGGTACATTCCACTATGCCTGGCTAACTTTTAAAATTTTTTTGTAGAGATGGGGTGTCACTTTGTTGCTCCAGCAGATCTCAGACTTCTGACATCAAATGATCCTCCTCCCTCAGCCTCCTGCTAAAGTGCTGAGATTACAGGTGTGAGCCACAATGCCTGGCCCAGATTTTTTTTTTTTTTTTTTTTACTAGTATAGAAAATAGAGTAAAGTTTTGTATATTGTGTGTATTCTGCCACCTTCTGAACTTATTAGTTCTGGCAGTTTTTGTGTATTCCTCAGGAATTTTCACAAACAGGATTATGTCATCAGCAAATAAAGACAGGTTTACTTCTTTATTTTCATTATAGAAGGTTTAATTTTTTTCTTTTTCTTTTTTTCTTATTTTGCCTTATTGAATCGGCTGTAACTGCCAGTATATTATTGAATAGAGGAAGTAGTAGTGGAAATCATTTGTTTGTTCCCGCCATTAAGAAGAAAGCATTCAATGTTTTACTATTAAGTATAATATTAGCTGAAGGGCTTTTGTATATACCATTTATCATAATGAGTCTTTATATTCCTAGTTACTTTAATATATATAATATAGTCATTATTGACAAATAAAGATTGTGTATATTTAGCCTTGTATAATAATGTGACATTTTGATATATGTATACATTGTAATGTGATTACCACAATTAACATATTCATCACCTTATATAAATATTGTTTTTCATTGTGAGAACATGTAAGATCTATTTTTTAAGCAATTTCAAGTATACAATACATTAATATTAACTATAGTTACAATGATTTACTTTAGATCTCCAGAACTTATTCATCTTATAACCAAATTTTGTAACCTCTGTCCAAAATATCTTTATTTCTGCCATTGACCAGCTCCTTGCAATCAGTTTTTTACTCTATGTTTCTATGAGTTCAGCTTTGGATTTCAAATGTAAATGAGATTATGCAGTATTTTTCTTTTTGTGTCTGGCTTATTTCACTTCGCATAATGTCCTGTAGGCTCATCCATGTTGTTGCAAATGGCAAAATTTTTTTTGGGGGGTGCTGAATAATATTCTATTGTACATATAGTTGGCCCACTGAATCTGTGAGTTCCACATCCACGAATCAATTAACTGGATCAAGAATTTTTGGGAAAAAAGGACGTTTGTGTCTGTATTGAACATATACAGACATTTTTTGGTCACCATTCCCTAAACAATAGAGTTTAACAACTATTTACATAGCATTTAGATTGTATTAGGCATCCATGGATTTTTGTATCTATGGGGGATCTTGAAATTGATACCCGTAAGTACCGTGTGGCTGAAGATCTGTTTCTTCTTTTAGTTCTCCTCCCAAACTCTTTAAACTCAGATTAAATGATTTATATTGATCTACTTTTAATTTTACTTATTCCTTTTGCTATCATCTCAAATGTACTCTTGATTCATGCTAGTCAGTTTTTCATTTCAGTTATTGTACTTTTCAACTTCATAATTTGCATTTGTTTCTTTTTTATATTTTCAGTTTTCAACCTCAGATGCTATTTGATAATTTATTGTTATCACAATTTTATTCTTTGTTCTCCAGAAAAGATACCCCAGATGTGACTGTAATGATCTTTTTTTAAACAAATTTTATTTTTATTTTAAGTTCTGGGGGTACATGTGCAGAATATGCAGGTTTGTTACATAGGTAAATGTGTGCCATGGTGGCTTGCTGCATCTGTCAACCCATCACCTAGGTATTAAGCCCAGCATGCATTAACAATTTTTTCTAATGCTCTCCTTCCCCCCACCCCACCACATGACAGGCCCCCCAAGTGTGTGTTATTCCCCTCCCTGTGTCCATGTGTTCTCATCTTTCAGCTCCCACTTATGAGTGGGAATATGTGGCATTTGATTTTCTTTTCCTGTGTTACTTTGCTGAGGATAATGGCTTCCAGCTTCATCCATGCCCTTGCAGAGAACATGATCTCATTCCTTTTATGGCTGCATAATACTCCATGGTGTATATGTACCATATTTTTTAAATCCAGTCTAGCATTGTTGGGCATTTGGGTTATTCCATGTCCCTGCTATTGTGAATAGTGCTGCAATCAATATACGTGTGCATGTATCTTTGTAATAGAATGATTTATAATTTGGGGTTACATACCCAGTAATGGGATTGGTGGGTCAAATGGTATTTCTGGTTCTAGATCTTTGAGGAATCCCTGCACAGTCTTTCATAATGGTTGAACTAACTTACATTTCCACCAACAGTGTAAAAGCATTCCTATTATTTTCTAATTTTATTTCATTGTGGTTAGAGAAGATGTTTGATATTATTTCAAATGTTTTAAGATTTGTTTTGTGACTTAACCTATGGTCTATTCTGGAGATTGATTTATATGCTGAGGAAAAAATTATGTATTCTGTAGCTCTTAGATAAAATGTTTTGTAAATATCTATTGGATGCATTTGGTCTACAGTGCAGATTATGTCTGCACTATTTCTCTACAACCTTGCCAGTATCTGTGGTTTCTTGACTTTTTAATAATTGCCAATCTATTTGGTGTGAGATGGTATATTATTGTATTTTGACTTGCACTTCTCTAATGATCAGTGATGTTGAGCCTTTTTTCATATGTTTGTTGGCTGCAGGAATGTCTTATTTTGAGAAGCTTCTGTTCATGTCCTTTGCCCACTTTTTGATGGGGTTGTTTTTTTTGTTTTTTGTAAATTTGTTTAAGTTCCTTGTAGATTCTGGAATTAGACCTTTGCCAGATTGATAGATTTCAAAAATTTTCTCTCATTTTTTAGGTTGCTTGTTCACTCAGATGATAGTTTCATTTGCTGTGCAGAAGCTCTTTTAGTTTAATTAGATCCCATTTGTCAACTTTTGCTTTTGTCACAATTGCTTTTGGCGATTTTGTCATGAAATCTTTGCCTGTGCCTATGTCCTGAATGGTATTGCCTAGATTTTCTTGTAGTGCTTTTATAGCTTTGGGTTTTATATTTAAATATTTAACCCATCTTAAGTTAATTTTTGTATAAGGTGTAAGGAAGGGGTACAGTTTCAATTTTATTCATACGGCTAGCCAGTTCTCCCAGCACCATTTATTAAATAGGGAATCCTTTCCCCATTGCTTGTTTTTGTTGGGGTTGTTGAAGATCAGGTGGTTGTATATGTGTGGTCTTACTTCTGAGTTCTCTATTATTTCACATTGGTTTATATATCTGTTTTTGTACCAATATCATGCCGTTTTGGTTACTGTAGCCTTGTAGTATAGTTTGAAGTCTGGTAGCATGATGCCTCCAGCTTTGTTCCTTTTGCTTAGGATTTTCTTGGCTATATGAACTCTTTTCTGGTTCCATATGAATTTTAAAATAGCTTTTTCTAAGAATTTCTAAGAATTCTCTGAAGAATATCAATGGTAGTTTAATGGGAATAGCATTGAATCTATAAATTATTTTGGGTACTATGGCCATTTCCATGATATTGATTCTTCTATCCATGAGCATGGAATGCTTTTCCATCTGCTTGTGTCCTTTCTGATTTCCTTGAGCAGTCATTTGTAGTTCTTCTTGAGGAGGGCCTTCAATTCCCTTGTTAGCTTTATTCCTAGGTATTTTATTCTCTTTGTAGCAATTGTGAATGGAAGTTCATTCATGATTTGGCTCTCTGCTTGCCTGTTGTTGGTGTATAGAAATGCTTGTGCTTTTGCACATTGATTTTGTATCCTGAGACTTTGCTGGCATTGCTTATCAGCTTAAGAAGCTTTTGGCCTGAGATGATGGGGTTTTCTAGATATAGGATTATGTCATCTGCAAACAGAGACAGTTTGACTTCCTCTCTTCCTATTTGAATACTTTTATTTCTTTCTGTTGCCCGATTGCCCTGGTGAGAACTTCCAATATTGTGTTGAAAAGGAGTAGTGAGAGAGGGCATACTTGTCTTGTGCTGATTTCCAAGGGGAATGCTTCCAGGTTTTGCCCATTCAGTATGATATTGGCTGTGGGTTTGTAATAAATGACTCATTATTTTGAGGTATGTTCCTTTAATACCTAGTTTATTGAGAGTTTTTAACATGAAGGGATGTTGAATTTTACCAAAGGCTTTTTGTGCATCTATTGAGATAATCATGTGGTTTTTGTCTTTAGATCTGTTTATGTGATGAATTTTTTTTATTGATTTGCATATGCTGAACCAGTCTTGCATCCCAATGATGAAGCCAACTTGATGATGTTGGATAAGCTTTTTGATGTACTGCTTTATTTGCTTTACCAGTGTTTTATTGAGAATTTTTGCATCAGTGTTCATTAGGGATACTGGCCTGAAGTTTTCTATTTTTGTTTTGTCTCTGCCAGGTTTTGGTATCAGGATGATTCTGGCCTCATAGAACAGTTAGGGAGGAGTCTCTCCTTTTCAATTATTTGGAATAGTTTCAGAAGAAAGGGTGTCAGGTCCTCTTTGTACTTCTGGTAAAATTCGGCTGTAAATCCATCTGATCCTGGGCTTTTTTTGGTTCATAGGTTATTTATTACTGCCTCAATTTCAGAACATGTTATTGGTCTATTCAGGGATTCGACTTCTTCCTGGTTCAGTCTTGGGAGGTTGTATATGTCCAGGAATTTATAAATTTCTTCTAGATTTTCTAGCTTATTTGCATAGAGGTGTTTATAGTATTCTGTGAGGATTGTTTGTATTTCTGTGGATCAGTGGCAATGTTCCCTTTATCAGTTTTTATTGTGTTTATTTGATTCTTCTCTTTTCTTCTTTATTAGTCTAGCTAGCAGTCTATGTCTTTTTTTTTTTTTCAAAAAAACAGCTTCTGTATTCATTGATTTCTTTTGAAGGGTTTTTCATGTCTCTATCTGATTCAGTTATGCTCTGAGCTTGGTTATTTCTTGTCTTCTGCTAGCTTTGAGGTGTTTTTTTTTGCTCTTGGTTTTAGTTGTTATGTTAGAGTTTTGATTTGAGATCTTTCTAGCTTTTTGATATAGGCATTTAGTACTATAATATTTCCTCTTAACACTGCCTTAGTTGCATCCCAGAGATTCTGGTACATTGTCTCTTTGTTCTCATTGGTTTCAAAGAACTTCTTGATTTCTGCCTTAATTTCATTATTTACCCAGAAGTCATTCAAAAGCAGTTTGTTCAATTTCCATGTAGTTGTGTGGTTTTGAGTGAGTTTCTTAATCTTGAGTTCTAATTTGATTGCACTGTGGTCTGAGAGACTGTTATGATTTTAGTTCTTTTTCATTGGCTGAGGAATGATTTACTGTTAATTATGTAACCAATTTTAGAATAAGTGCCATGTGGCACCAAAAATAATGTATATTCTGTTGTTTTGGGGTGGAGAGTTCTGTAGATATCTATCAGGTCCACTGGTTCCAGAGCTGAGTTCAAGTCCTGAATATCATTGTTAATTTTCTGTATAATATTGTCAGTGGGGTGTTAAAGTCACCCACTATTATTGTGTGGGAGTCTAAATCTCTTTGTAGGTCTCTAAGAACTTGTTTTGTGAATCTGGGTGCTCCTGTATTGGAGGCATATATATTTATGATAGTTAGCTTTTCTTGTTAAATTGACACCTGTTTTATTATATAATTCTTTTCTTTGTCTTTTTTGATCTTTGTTGGTTTAATGTCTATTTTGTCATAAACTAGGATATCAACCCCTGCTTTTTTCTGTTTTCCATTTGCTTGGTAAATTTTCCTCCATTCTTTTATTTTGAGTCTATGTGTGTGTTTGCATTTGAGATGGGTCTCTTGAATACAGCACACCAATGGATCTTAACTCTTTATCCAGCTTGTCATTCTGTGTCTTTTAATTGGGGCATTTTGCCGATTTACATTTAAGGTAAATATTGTTATGTGTGAGTTGGAACCTGTCGTCATGATGCTAGCTGGTTATTTTGCAGACTTGTTTCTGTAGTTGCTTCATAGTATCATTAGTTTGTGTACCTCAGTGTGTTGTTGTAGTGGCTGGTAAAGATTTTTCTTTTCCATATTTAATGCTTCCTTCAGGAGCCAGGCAGTCCTGGTGTTAATAAATTTCCTCAGCATTTGCTTGTCTAAAAAAGATTTTATTTCTCCTTTGCTTATGAAACTTAGACCAGACATGAAATTCTAGGCTGGAAATTCTTTTCTTTAAGAATGTTGAATATTGGCCTCCAATCCCTTTTGGCTTGTGGGAATTTTGCTGTTAGTCTGATGGGGTTCCATTTATAAGTGACCTGGCCTTTCTCTCTGGCTGCACGTAACTGCTTTTTTTTTTTTTTTTTTCCCATTTTGACCTTAGAGAATCTGATGATTGTGTGTCTTGAGATTGATTTTCTCATGGTGTATCTTACTGAGGTTCTCTGGATTTCCTGAATTTGAATGTTGGCCTGTCTTGCTAGGTTGGGGAAGTTCTCCTGGATGACTCTAAAGTGTGTTTCCAACTTGGTTCTGTTTTCTCCATCTCTTTTAGGTACCCCTATTAGTTGTAGGTTCCATCCTGTAACATAATCTGATAGTTCTCAGCAGTTTTGTTTGCTCCTTTTCTTTCTTTTTCCTCTAATCTTCTCTGCCTGCCTTATCTCATCAAGGTAGTATTCAAGCTCTGATATCTTTTCTTCTGCTTGGTCTACCAAACTGTAGGTGGATCTACCATTCTGGGGTCTGAAGGATGTTGGACCTCTTCTCACAGCTCCACTAGGCAGTGCCCCAATGGGGACTCTGTGTGGGGGGCTTCATCCCCACATTTCCCTTCTGCTCTGCCCTAGCAGAGGTCCCCCATGAGCACCCCATCCCTGCAGCAAACTTTTGCCTGGGCATCCAGGCATTTCCATACATCTCCTGAAATATAGGTGGAGGTTTCCAAACCTTAATTCTCGACTCCTGTGCACCCACAGACTCAACACCATGTGCAAGCTGCCAATAGATGGGGCTTCAACCCTCTAAAGCCATGGCCTGAACTGTAGCTTGGCCCCTTTTAGTCACAGCTGGAGCAGCTGGGATGCAGGGCACCAAGTCCCTAGACTGCACCCAGCACTGGGACTCTTAGCCTGGTCCATGAAGTCATCTTTTCTTCCTTGGCTTCCAGGGCTGCTGTGAAGACCTCTGATATGCCCTGGAGACATTTTCCCCATTGTCTTGGGAATTAACGTTCAGATTCTCATTACTTATGCAAATATCTGCAGCTGGCTTGAATTTCGCCTCAGAAAATAGGACTTTTTTTTTCTATCACATTGTCAGGCTGTAAATTTTCTGAACTTATATGCTCTGCTTCCCTTACAAAGCTGAATGCCTTTAACAGCACCCAAGTCACCTCTTAAATGCTTTTCTGCTTAGACATTTCTTCTACCAGATACCCAAAATCATTTCTCTCAAGTTCAAAGTTTCTCAAATCTCTAGGGTAGGAGCAAAATGCCACCAGTCTCTTTGCTGTAACATGAGTCACTTTTGCTCCAGTTTCCAACAAATTCCTCTTGTTCATCTGGGACCACCTCAGCCTGGATTTTATTGTCCATATCACTATCAGCATTTTGGGCAAAGCCATTCAACAAGTCTGTAGGAAGTTCCAAACTTTCCCACATTTTCCAGTCTTCTTCTGAGCCATCCAAACTGTTCCAACCTCTTCCTGTTACCAAGTTCCAAATTTGCTTCTACATTTTTGGGTACCTTTTTAGCAATGCCCCACTCTACCAGCAGCAATTCACTGTATTAGTCCATTTTCATTCTGCTAATAAAAACATACTCAAGACTGGGCTATTTACAAAAGACAGAGTCTTAATATTGCTTTTGCTGTATCCCTGATCATAGGTTTAGGATGTTGTGTTTCCATTATCATCTGTTTCAAGACATTTTTTAGTTTCTTTCTTGATTTCTTTATTGATTCACTGGACATTCAGGAATGCATTGGTTTATATCCATGTATTTGTACAGTTTCCAAAATTCCTCTTGTTATCAATTTCTAATTTTATTTCATTGTGAGTTTTAAACCTTGTTTTGTGACCTAACATATGGCCTGTTTTTTGAGAATAATTCATGTGCTGAGAAAAAATGTGTATTCTGCAGCCACTGAATGAAATGTTCTGTAAATATCTATTAGACCCATTTGGTCTTTAGTGAAGACTGAGTATGACGTTTCTTTGTTGATTTTGTATCTGGAAGATCTGTTCAATGCTGAAAGTGGAGTGTTGAAATCTCCAGCTATTATTGTATTGGGGCCCATCTCTCTTTAGCTCTAATAATATTTTCTTTATACATATAGGTTCTCTAATGTTGGGTACATATATATTTAAAGTTGTTATATTCTCTTGTTGAATTTGCCACTTTATTATTGTATAGTGACATTTTTCTCTTATAGTTTTGTCTCAAAATCTATTTTATCTAAGATAATTATAGCTACTCATGTTCTTTTTTTTAGCTATGAAATATCTTTTTCCATCCCTTTATTTTTAGTCTATGTGTGTCTTGATGGGTGAAATGTATTTCTTGATGGCAACAGATCAATGGGTCTTGTTTTTTCATTCATTCAGTCTTTTTTTTCATTCAGTCTATGTCTTTTGATTAAAGGATTTAATCCACTTACATTCAATGTTATTATTGATAAGTAAGGACTTACTTCTGCCATTTTTTAAATGTGTTTTCTGGTTTTTTTGTGGTGTATTCTTCTTTCTTTCCTTCCTGTAGGTGTGCTTTATTGTTCATTCTTTTTTCCTTTTTTCTCCCCTGTGTGTTTTCAAATAAATTGTCTTCAGGCTCACTAATTCTTCTTTCTGCTTGATCAATTCTGCTACTAAAGGACTCTAGTACATTCTTCAGTGTGCCAATTGCATTTTTCAGCTCCAGAACTTCTGCTTGATTCTTTCAAATTATTTTAATCTCTGTTAAATTTTTCTGATAGAATTCTTAATTCCTTCTTTGTGTTATCTTGAATTTATTTGAGTGTCCTTAAAAAGGCCATTATGAATCCTGTGTCTAAAAGGTCACATATCTCTGTTTCTCCAGTATTCATTCCTGGTGACTTATTTAGTTCATTTGGTGATGTCATGCTTTCCTGGAATGCCTTGATACCTGCAGAGGTTTCTCTGTGTCTGAGTATTGAAGAGTTATGTATTCATTGTAGTCTTCTCAGTCTGGAATTGTTTGTACCCTTCCTTATTGGGCAGGTTTTCAAAATATTTGAAAGGACTTGGGTGTTATGATCTAAACTTTATCTGTTTTATGGGGGCATTCCAAGCCAGTAATGCTGTAGTTCTTGCAGACTCATAGAGATATTGCTTTAATGGTCTTATACAAGATTCAGCAGGATTCTCTGGATTACCAGGCAGAGACTCCTATTCTCTTCCCTTTCTTCCTAACAGAGTATGTCTCCCTGTTCTGAGCCGTCTAAAGCTGGAGATGGAATGACACAAGCCACCATCACTATGACTGCACTGAGTCAGACCTGAAGCCAGCACAACACTGGTTCTCCCCCAAGGCCACCTGTATCCATTTCCTGTGTACTGCCTTTGTTTGCTCAAGGTTCTGGGGTTATACAATCAGCAGGTGGCAGAGTCAGCCAGGCATCTGTTCTTCCATTAAAGGTGGTGACTTTCCCCAGGCCTAAGGTGGGTCCAGAGATGCCACCTTGGAGTTGGGGTCTAGAGGCAAAAAGCTTAGAAGTCTACCTGGTGTTCTATTGTACTGCACCTAAGGTGGCACTCAAACCACAAGACACAGTGCTTCCCACTCTTCCCTTTTTTTCCCAAAGGCAGAGAAGCCTCTCCCACCACAGTCCCATCAAGCATTCTGCCAGACACCACTGATATTTCCTTAAAGCTCAAGGGTTAAGTCAGCTTATTGTGAATTTTCCCTGGCCTGGGACTCAACCTTTAGGGCAGGAAGCTCCCCTCCAGCCCAGGGCAGGTCCAGAGATGCTGTCCGAGAATCCAGTGCTGAAATCGGGGACCCCCCCCCCCCCACACCCCCAGGAGCCTGCTTGGTGCTCTACCCTGCCGTGGTTGAGTTAGTACCTGAGGTGCAAGACAAAGTCTCCTTTACTTTTTCCTCTGCTTTTCTCAAGTAGAAGGAATTTCATCCCTTCACCACCACTGCTGGTAATATGTTGAATCTCACCTAAAGCCAGTAAGCCTCAGAGGCTCACCCAAGGCCCTTGACAGTATCTGGGTGTAGATCTGGTTGTTCAGGGCCCAACGGTTCTTCAGTTAGGTGATAAATGTTGTCAGGACTTGTTTCTTGACTTCAAGGCAGAGGATTTATTTTCTGGCTCAGGCCGTGTCTAGAAATGTGGTCTGGGAGCTAAGGCCTGTATCAAAGGACTTACAACTCTAACTAGTGCCCCATCCTGCTGTGGCTGAGCTAGCATCCAAAATGCAAGACAAAGTCACCCACACTCTTCCTCTCTTCTCTTCAAGTGGAAGGATGGGGACTATTTTCGAGCTGTGAGCTGTGCATCCTGGGGTTAGAGAAGGGGTGATGTCAACGCTCTCTTGGCTGTCCCAGCTGATGTCTCAGTACGTCATGTGCCCCCAAAGTCCATCGTCTTCTGGGCCCAGTTAAGCCCTAGAACTCACCTAAGACTTTCAGTCCTTATGGCCTAGGCTACCTTTCAAGTTTATTTGGAGACACAGAGCACTTTGGCCTTAAGTGCCAAGGTTTGCAGGAACTCAAATTGGGACCGCTGGGATTGGCAATTCCTCTCTGGCTAGTGCTGGTTAAATGTTCCCTTCCTGGGTGAGTGTCAGCTGAGTTTGGTCCAGTTTCCCTTTCTGCTCTAACAGGACAGCACTGAGGCCAATGCCTCACAATTGCTGTGCTTCCCCAGCACCCAGAGATGCTGTCTGCACCATGCCACTGCTCCCAGGGTTGTGGTGTGGGGGGCTGGCATTGGAGATTCAAGATTGTTTTTTCTGTCTCTTCAGTGTGTTTTTCATCATTACATAGTTAAAACCAAGTACTATGAGGGCTCACCTGATTTTTGGTTCTTATAAAGGTATTTTTTTCCTTCTGTGTCGATAGTTAAATTGGTGTCCTTATGGGGGAACAGTTGGTGGAACTTTCTATTCTGCCATCTTACTCTGCCTCTCTTCCTGACTGCCTTTTCACCCCATTTGTTTGGGGCACCTTTTCTTGTTTCTTTACATGTCTGTATTTTTTTTGTTCTTATAACTAGGCATATGTCTAGTTACACATAATGTATTGTTGCAACTCTGGATTCTGATTTTTTTTGTTGTTGTAGATTGTTGTTGCTGGTGTCTGTGTTTAGTAATTTTCCAGGACCAAACATGTGGAGTCTTTTTTCGTTTTCTTTCTTTCTTTCTTTCTTTTTTCTTTTTCTTTTTTTTGACAGAATGCATTCTCTGATGTTTCTACTCAGTTTTTCTTTTCTTTTTTTTTTTAAATAATCTTTTTAGCATTCTTAACGGTAGCCTCTTAGGGGTTCACCCTTGTGACAGCATAGCTTAGTGGTTAGCCAATGATTGTTCAGGAAACATGCTCAACTACCTTGACCCAGTAATATTTTCACCCTCTTTGCATTGACTTGACTGTATGTTTGGGAACATATTCAAAATTCAGGCAGTTCACAAGTCAGTTTCAGCTTTTGCTTTCTTTTAGGACCTCTCACATTTCTTCTGTGCATTCACAAGATTTCATATTCAGTCAGGGATGAATGGATGGCTAGGGCCCTTTCTGGTTTCTCCTACACATGTGCATCTGTGCAGCCTTCCAAATTTCCAGAGACAGAGAGGAACTTATCAAGTCCCAATAATATCATCTCATTCCCCACTCTTCTTGTTCATTTTCTAGCTAGTTTGCCACTTTGTTGCTTGCTCTGGCTAGGACCTCAAGCTTAGGATAGCTATGTGGTTGACCTTCCCTATTTGTTTGCCACAGAGATTGCGACTATTTTCAATAATGCCCCCGGACATAGAGTTGCTTGGTGCTCCACTTCAAACTAAGTGATCCCCCCTCCAACAGCAAAGCTGCTATTTTTCACAGCTTGTCCTACCTTCAAGTATCTACCATGCTAACAAAGCTGGAAGGTAGTGGGGGAAGGGAGCAGCTCCCGATATAAATGCCCCAGACTCCCACTGTCCTTCCTGGAGGCTTTTCCTGAATAAATTCATCTCAATTTGTTGCATGATTTTGGACAATTTATGGAGTCTTCAAATAGTTGTTTTTGACAATTTTCTTTAGATTTGTGGTCACTTTTTAAAAATTATACTTTAAGTTATAGGGTACATTTGCACAATGTGCAGGTTTGTTACATATGTATACATGTGCCATGCTGGTGTGCTGCATCCATTAACTCCTCATTTAACATTAGGTATATCTCCTAATGCTATCCCTTCCCCCTCCCCCCACCCCACAACAGGTCCTGCTGTGTGATGTTCCCCTTCCTGTGTCCACGTGTTCTCATTGTTCAATTCCCACCTATGAGTGAGAACATGTGGTGTTTGGTTTTTTGTCGTTGCGATAGTTTGCTGAGAATGATGGTTTCCAGCTTCACCCATGTCCCTACAAAGGACATGAACTCATCATTTTTTATGGCTGCATAGTATTCCATGGTGTGTATGTGCCACATTTTCTTAATCCAGTCTATCATCGTTGGACATTTGGGTTGGTTCCAAGTCTTTGCTATTGTGAATAGTGCCGCAATAAACCTACGTGTGCATGTGTCTCTATAGCAGCATGATTTATAATCCTTCGGGTATATACCCAGTAATGAGATGGCTGGGTCAAATGGTATTTCTAGTTCTAGATCCCTGAGGAATTGCCACACTGACTTCCACAATGGTTGAACTAGTTTACAGTCCCACCAACAGTGTAAAAGTGTTCCTATTTCTCCACATCCTCTCCAGCACCTGTTGTTTCCTGACTTTTTAAAGATCGCCATTCTAACTGGTGTGAGATGGTATCTCATTGTGATTTTGATTTGCATTTCTCTGATGGCCAGTGATGATGAATATTTTTTCAGGTGTCTTTTGGCTGCACAAATGTCTTCTTTTGAGGAATGTCTGTTCATATCCTTCACCCACTTTTTGATGGGATTGTTTATTTCTTGTAAATTTGTTTGAGTTCATTGTAGATTCTGGATATTAGCCCTTTGTCAGATGAGTAGGTTGCGAAAATTTTCTCCCATTCTGTAGGTTGCCTGTTCACTCTGATGGTAGTTTCTTTTGCTGTGCAGAAGCTCTTTAGTTTAATTAGATCCCATTTGTCAATTTTGGCTTTTGTTGCCATTGCTTTTGGTGTCTTAGACATGAAGTACTTGCCCATGCCTATGTCCTGAATGGTATTGCCTAGATTTTCTTCTAGGATTTTTATGATTTTAGGTGTAACATGTAAGTCTTTAATCCATCTTGAATTAATTTTTGTATAAGGCGTAAGGAAGGGATCCAGTTTCAGCTTTCTACATATGGCTAGCCAGTTTTCCCAGCACAATTTATTAAATAGGGAATACTTTCCCCATTTCTTCTTTTTGTCAGGTTTGTCAAAGATCAGATAGTTGTAGATATGTGGCATTATTTCTGAGGCCTCTGTTCTGTTCCATTAGTCTATATCTCTGTTTTGGTACCAGTACCATGCTGTTTTGTTTACTGTAGCCTTGTAGTATAGTTTGAAGTCAGGTAGCGTGATGCCTCCAGCTTTGTTCTTTTGGCTTAGGATTGACTTGGCAATGAGGGCTCTTTTTTGGTTCCATATGAACTTTTAAGTAGTTTTTTCCAATTCTGTGAAGAAAATCATTGGTAGCTTGATGGGGATGGCATTGAATCTGTAAATTACCTTGGTAAGTATGGTCATTTTCATGATATTTATTTTTCCTACCCATGAGCATGGAATGTTCTTCCATTTGTTTGTATCCTCTTTTATTTCATTGAGCAGTGGTTTGTAGTTCTCCTTGAAGGGGTCCTTCACATCCCTTGGAAGTTGGATTCCTAGGTATTTTATTCTCTTTGAAGCAATTGTGAATGGGAGTTTACTCATGATTTGGCTCTCTGTTTGTCTGTTATTTGTGTATAAGAATGCTTGTGATCTTTGCACATTGATTTTGTATCCTGAGACTTTGCTGATGTTGTCTATCAGCTTAAGGAGATTTTGGGCTGAGACAATGGGATTTTCTAGATATACAATTATGTCATCTGCAAACAGGGACAATTTGACTTCCCCTTTTCCTAATTGAATACTTTTTTTCCTTCTCCTGCCTGATTGCCCTGACCAGAACTTCCAACACTATGTTGAATAGGAGTGGTGAGAGAGGGCACCCCTGTCTTGTGCCAGTTTTCAAAGGGAATGTTTCCAGTTTTTGCCCATTCAGTATGATATTGGCTGTGGGTTTGTCATAGATAGCTCTTATTATTTTGTGATACATCCCATCAATACCTAATTTATTGAGAGTTTTTAGCATGAAGCATTGTTGAATTTTGTCAAAGGCCTTTTCTGCATCTATTGAGATAATCATGTGGTTTTTGTCATTGGTTCCGTTTATCTGCTGGATCACATTTATTGATTTGCATGTGTTGAACCAGCCTTCCATTCCAGGGATGAAGCCCACTTGATCATGGTGGATAAGCTTCTTGATGTGCTGCTGGATTCGGTTTGCCAGTATTTTATTGAGGATTTTTGCATCAATGTTCATCAGGGATATTGGTCTAAAATTCTATTTTTTTATTGTGTCTCTGCCAGGCTTTGGTATCAGGATGATGCTGGCCTCATAAAATGAGTTAGGGAGGATTTCCTCTTTTTCTATTGATTGCAATAGTTTCAGAAGGAATGGTACTAGCTCCTTCTTGTGCCTCTGGTAGAATTCGGCTGTGAATCCATCTGGTCCTGGACTTTTTTTGGTTGATAAGCTATTAATTATTACCTCAATTTCAGAGCCTGTTATTGGTCTATTCAGAGATTCAACTTCTTCCTGGTTTAGTCTTGAGAGGGTGTATGTTTCCAGGAATTTATCCATTTCTTCCAGATTTTCTAGTTTATTTGCATAGAGGTGTTTATAGTGTTCTCTGATGGTAGTTTGTATTTCTGTGGGATTGGTGGTAAGATCCACTTTATCATTTTTTATTGCGTCTATTTGATTCTTCTCTCTTTTCTTCTTTATTAGTCGTGCTAGCAGTCTAGCAATTTTGTTGATCTTTCCGAAAAACCAGCTCCTGGATTCTTCGATTTTTTGAAGGGTTTTTGTGTCTCTATTTCCTTCAGTTCTGCTCTGATCTTAGTTATTTCTTGCCTTCTGCTAGCTTTTGAATGTGTTTGCTCTTGCTTCTCTAGTTCTTTTAATTGTGATGTTAGGGTGTCAATTTTAGATCTTTCCTGCTTTCTCTTGTGGGCATTTAGTGCTATAAATTTCTCTCTACACACTGCTTTGAATGTGTCCCAGAGATTCTGGTATGTTGTGTCTTTGTTCTTGTTGGTTTTGAAGAACATCTTTATTTCTGCCTTCATTTCGTTGTGTACCCAGTAGTGATTAAGGAGCAGGTTTTTCAGTTTCCATGTAGTTGAGCAGTTTTGAGTGAGTTTCTTAATCCTGAGTTCTAGTTTGATTGCATTGTGGTCTGAGAGGCAGTTTGTTATAATTTCTGTTCTTTTACATTTGCCGAGGAGTTCTTTACTTCCAACTATGTGGTCAATTTTGGAGGATAAGTGCAGTGTGGTGCTGAGAAGAATGTATATTCTGTTGATTTGGGGTGGAGAGTTCTGTACATGTCTATTAGGTCCGCTTGGTGCAGAGCTGAGTTCAATTCCTGGATATCCTTGTTAACTTTCTCTCTTGTTGATCTGTCTAATGTTGACAGTGGGGTGTTAAAGTCTCCCATTATTATTGTGTGGGAGTCTAAGCCTCTTTGTCGGTCTCTAAGGACTTGCTTTATGAATCTGGGTACTCCTGTATTGGGTGCATATATATTTAGGATAGTTAGCTCTTCTTGTTGAATTGATCCCTTTACCGTTATTTAATGGCCTTCTTTGTCTCTTTTGATCTTTGTTGGTTTGATGTCTGTTTTATCAGACTAGGATATGCAACCCCTGCATTTTTTGTTTTCCATTTGCCTGGTAGATCTTCCTCCATCCTTTTATTTTGAGCCTATGTGTGTCTCTGCACATGAGATGGGTTTCCTGAATACAGCACACTGATGGGTCTTGACTCTTTATCCAATTTGCCAGTCTGTGTCTTTCAACTGGGGCATTTAGCCCATTTACATTTAAAGTTAATATTGTTATATGTGAATTTGATCCTGTCATTATGATGTTAGCTGGTTATTTTGCTCATTGGTTGATGCAGTTTCTTCCTAGTCTTGATGGTCTTTAAAATTTGGCATGTTTTTGCAGTGGCTGGTACCGGTTGTTCCTTTCCATGTTTAGTGCTTCCTTCAGGAACTTTTCTTTTAGGGCAGGCCTGGTGGTGACAAAATCTCTCAGCATTTGCTTGTCTGTAAAGGATTTTATTTCCCTTTCACTTATGAAGCTTAGTTTGGCTGGACATGAAATTCCAGTGCTTCCTTCTAAAACTTTTCTTTTAGAGCAGGCCTGGTGGTGACAAAATCTCTCAGCATTTGCTTGTCTGTAAAGGATTTTATTTCTCCTTCACTTATGAAGCTTAGTTTGGCTGGATATGAAATTCTGGGTTGAAAATTCTTTAAGAATGTTGAATATTGGCCCCCACTCTCTTCTGGCTTGTAGAGTTTCTGCTGAGAGATAAGCTGTTAGTCTGATGGGCTTCCCTTTGTGGGTAACCCGACCTTTCTCTCTGGCTGCCCTTAACATTTTTTTCTTCATTTCAAATATGTTGAATCTGACAATTATGTGTCTTGGAGTTGCTCTTCTCAAGAAGTATCTTTGTGGTGTTCACCATATTTCCTGAATTTGAATGTTGGCCACGATGCTAGATTGGGGAAGTTCTCCTGGATAATATCCTGAAGAGTGTTTCCCAACTTGGTTCCATGCTCCCTGTCACTTTCAGGTACACCAATCAGACGTAGATTTGGTCTTTTCACATAGTCCCATATTTCTTGGAGGCTTTGTTCATTTCTTTTTATTCTTTGTTCTCTAAACTTCTCTTCTTGCTTCATTTCATTGATTTGATCTTCCATCACTGATACTCTTTCTTCCAGTTGATTGAATCGGCTACTGAGGCTTGTGCTTGTGTCTTGGTTTTCAGCTCCATCAGGTCCTTTAAGGACTTCTGTGCATTGGTGATTCTAGTTAGCCATTCATCTAATTTTTTTTCAAGGTTTTTAACTTCTTTGCCATGGGTTCAAACTTCCTCCTTTAGCTCAGAGTAGTTTGATCGTCTGAAGCCTTCTTCTCTCAACTCGTCAATGTCATTCTCCGTACAGCTTTGTTCCATTGCTGGTGAGGTGCTGCATTCCTTTGGAGGAGGAGAGGCACTCTGATTTTTAGAGTTTCCAGTTTTTCTACTCTGTTTTTTCCCCATCTTTGTGGTTTTATCTACCTTTGGTCTTTGATAATGGTGATGTACAGATGGGGTTTTGGTGTGGATGTTCTTTCTGTTTGTTAGTTTTCCTTCTAACAGTCATGACCCTCAGTTGCAGGTCTGTTGGAGTTTGCTGGAGGTACACTCCAGACCCTGTTTGCCTGGGTATCAGCAGCAGAGGGTGCAGAACAGTGGATATTGCTGAGCAGCAAATGTTGCTGCCTGATCGTTCCTCTGGCAGTTTTGTCTCAGAGGAGTACCTGGCCGTGTGAGGTGTCAGTCTGCCCCTACTGGGGGATGCCTCCCAGTTAGGCTACTTGGGGGTCAGGGACCCACTTGAGGAGGCAGTCTGTCCATTCTCAGATCTCCAGCTGTGTGCTGGGAGAACCACTACTCTCTTCAAAGCTGTCAGACAGGGACATTAAGGTCTGCAGAGGTTTCTGCTGCCTTTTGTTTGGCTATGCCCTGCCCCCAGAGGTGGAGTCTACAGAGGCAGGCAGGCCTGCTTGAGCTGCGGTGGGCTCCACCCAGTTCGAGCTTTCCAGCCACTTTGTTTACTTACTCAAGCCTCAGCAATGGTGGGCTCCCCTCCCCCAGCCTCACTGCCACCTTGCAGTTTGATCTCAGCCTGCTGTGCTAGCAATGAGTGAGGCTCCATGGGCATAGGACCCTCCAAGCCATGCGTGGGATATAATCTCCTGGTGTGCCATTTGCTAAGACCATTGGAAAGGTGCGGTATTAGGGTGGGAGTGACCTGATTTTCCAGGTGCCATCTGTCACCCCTTTCTTTGACTAGGAAAGGGAATTCTCTGACCCCTTGTGCTTCCCGGGTGAGGTGATGCCTTGCCCTGCTTTGGCTCACACTCAGTGCACTGCTTCCATTGTCCTGCACCCACTGTCTGACACTCCCCAGTGAGATGAACCCAGTACCTCAGTTGGAAATGCAGAAATCACCCATCTTCTGTGTCGCTCACACTGGGAGCTATAGACTGGAGCTATTCCTATTCAGCCATCTTGGCTCCACCCCTGTTGTCACTTTTTAGGGAAAGTATTTGCTGAGCTTCTTATTCTACCATTTTGGAAGTCCCCTTTTCAGAAATATTTAATTGTTGATAGGCATGATTTAGTTTCTACCTAGTTTTTGATCAAGCATCAAGCAGTTGAGATTCTTAGATAATCAAGTGCATTTTACTAATGACTCCATAAATATTATATTCTGATTTTTAGAAACATATCCATATTAGAAAATGTACATGAACAGGGCTAATTTTCTTCATGTATTGGAATGAATGTTTTGTATTTATTTTTGAATTCTTTTCCTATCCAAACTCTACAATTGAAGATAATGGAACAGGAGATAAAATTGAAAGCTTTTGAAATTGTCTAGATAGTAGACTGAATATTTGCGATGTATTTTCTACTCTCTTTTTCTTGATTACATTTTAGTAATATGAAATAAAAACGGTCAGCCATTAACAGCAGAACATATGCAACCTATTTAAACCAAAAGTCTTTCAAGCATCTCAGGAGCAGACCTGAGAAGCTTTTCTAAGTTAAATGTACAATAATCATCTAACAAGAATAATCTGACACTTTATATGTGACCATGATGGCAAATAAAATTGGATTGCTCCCAATTTGATAGCCCATGGAGGGTTGTACAATAATTTTATGCTAATTCTAAAAAACCTATGATTTCTACTTTTAGAAATTCATGATCAAATTTATCTTCTTATCTGTGTGGAGTTTAGGAAAGAAACACATCATGCTAAAGACAACAAAAGCCTGAACAAAGTCCCTCTATTTAGTCAAAATAGAATTTCACAAACAATGGAGTTTAAAATTCAAATGTCTTCAAAGCAGTTGTAATAATAATTGTTTCCACTAAGGTGTGCTAGATCTCCAAATATTATTCATGCTCTCCTTGTCTTACCACACTGCACTGAATTTCACCGTGTTCATTGCCTTCCCCAGGGCTGCCAAGCATTTACCACACAGGAGGTTTTTAAGCTGGAGCAACAATGTGCTGCACACAAATTCAGCTAAAACACAAAAGAAGACAAGAAATCATTTAAAAATGTTAAATGAAAAGAAAAAAATAGTTGCATTGTGAATTGGTGATTTTTATAAACAGACTCAGGTATTGACTTTGATTTTGCAGAAATAATTTGGTTTGTTTGAGAAATTCTAGAAGGTTAACCTAATAGGAGGAAGTTTTTCAGGCAATTTTTCTTCTAATAAAACTCTCTAATGTCCTATTATTATTTATAACTAGTGTTACGAATGTAAGTTATCTTTTGCTTTAATAGCGTATCAGTCTGACGCTATCATTTGTTCATGATGATTTAAATCCCTAGAGGTTCCTGAGATCATCTAGTGAAGTTTGAAAAACAACTAACACAAAAGAGCAGCTCTAAATAGTGTGTCAGGCAGAAGATGGCACAGATTTGGGAGTATAACAAAACCTTTTAGTCTGTAGAAAGAAAAATTAATTCTTATTATTTGCAATACTGAAGTTATTTTTTTAAACAAATCTTAAAGTTATCAACTAGAAATTTAGCTATCTTGGTAAAAGCCTTCTCTATAGCTGGTAATTTAATGATAGACTCTGAAAGATTTGCCAGGAGAATGTGCTAACTTTTCCCAGAAACAAAATCTGGGTTCTTCATAGGGATTTCTATGCACACATCCACCTTAGTTTGAAAGCATTTTTATATATGCAAATAACTTTTTTTGGTCATGTAATTTTACTTAGAATGTGAATGGGAGTTTCTTTTTTTTCTTGATTTTACTGTGATTTCAGTTAAAAAGACAACTTGCACTTTCTCACCTCTAAATGAATATGATTGCTTCAGCAGCTTGTCCACTTAAATAATTTGGTTTCATGATTTTGATTATATTCACTAATCATTGTAATCAATGGCCATCTTAATAGTAATTTTTAAAATGTCAGCACTAAATTTACATTAACCTTAAAGAAAAACCTCAAATATTTTAGTACTTAAATTGTTACCATAATTTATTTTTGTAAACAAAAAGCAGTTTATAGTCAGTTGAACAACTGGAAATCAGTTGATAAGTAACTAGATATAGATTGTTTTAAAAATAAAAAATTTTTTGGATCAAGCTGGAAAGTTTTTACCAAAATCAATATTTTTTCATATATATAGTTGTAGTTTCGTAGTTCATGTTATTATAAAATATTATCTTACTTAGACCAAATTTTATATTTAAAAAGTCTTTTTGGCTACGATACAACTCCTTTTGTTTTGATAAATTTTCAAAGTAATAGTAATGAAAATGCATAATCAAGTAAGTGAATTTTCATATACATGAAAAATTTCATTAGAGTATTGGAAAAATGACATGTTTTATAATTCTATTGCCTTTTCATGTGGTTATTAAATTAGTGAGTTGACAAATGTGAAATGACGTCTGTACTTTTACTGAGATATGTTGTTTAAGTAACAGTAGTGTGACTGGGAGACAATTTAGGACAGTAGAGTTTTTACACTCTTAACCGGGAAAATTTTTTCATTTGTGAGATCATTTGAGTTAATTTATTGTAACTACTGTATCCATAATTTTTGCCTGCTAAAGAATGGCGATTATTATTTCCTAAAACCTTAAATAAGGGCATAAGATTAATTAAACCCATTTTGTTGATCCAGAGGAAGAAGGAAGTATTTTGTATTTCAAAATATAAGTTTAGAGAGATTATTATTTGATGTTATGGAAATATAAAACAAATAGAAATTTTATACCCTGTGTTTAAACTTCAGATTTTTAAAAAGTACTTTCTAAAAACAAAGAGGAATGGATGTTGAATATCACACACAGCTAAAAGCTAATAAGAGAAAATTGTAATCATGCAGGAAGGTATTTAAACCCATTAATTACTTGTTAAAAGGATATAAATGAGAAAATAAAAATCTTCAGCATTTAGAACAGCAGCCATTCCTGCTGAATGGAAAGCACTGTGCAACTTGAAGGTAGATTGACTGGAAACTTTGGGAGGCAAGTAAATGGTGCCTGACTTGCGTTAAGACACAGCATTTCATCTGGTTTAGTTTTAGTTTAGGTTTAGGGCATTAATATGTATCTTTTCTAAAAACAAAGCATGTTTTGAATTTATTTAGAAATTCTACCCGGAATATTTATACCAATTAATACTCTATATTTAACACACACAAAAAATAAAAGGCCCCACTCCATTTCCTCTTTGACAATAAATGGAACTAAGAAGTCTTCCCTAGGAATGCTTTCCCAGAAATATTTAAAATAAATACAATTAAGATAAATTCCGTAGATAATTTTTTTGAGAAACGTGTGCATGTAATGTAGAAAATTTAAGTGTTATTATTTATTTGAGTAAATGGGGTAAGGTACAAGCCCTGTGTAAATTAGAAAACATTGCCCATCTACATCTGAAGAGGAATTTGGCTTGGTTCGATGCCAAGGGTCAAGTAGAGGCACAAATCTCACATGTTGGAGGTCCTGGGAGCCTGACCAGGAGGACTCAACGGAGGACAGATGGAAAAACTACAGACTGATCTTATTTCACAACTTTAGGAGGATCACTCTGAATTTATTTTTCTTTAAGTAGGAGAGAGCTACATTGTACATACGGAAGCTTAAGTTTGGAAAGAGGAAAGCTGAAAAGAGGAAACTTCCAAACTGTTTGTGGACAGGTGGGACAGGGTGGTGGTGAGGTGATGGTGGAGACCAAATCTTGGAAGACCCAGGTGATGCTGTATTATGTGCACAGTGTCATTCCCCTGAAAGCAAGTCAGCTTACAGAGATTCAGGACCAGAGAAAAGATAAATTATAGTAAGAGGTCAGGAAGGTAAAAAATACAGATCCAGGATTTTTTTAAAAAATTAAAAGTGGTCTACAAATTTGATTATATATTTCTTGGTAGTCAAAGAAAGTTATTTTCATCATCTATGGAGAGAAAGTATATCAGTTTCTCATAAAAAGCAAATAATTTCCTTTCATTGTGTTCTAAAAGAATATAGGAGAGAATTTTATGATTAGTAGTTTATTACTTTGTATTAAGATTTTTGTCTTTAATTTTTCTTTTAAAATGCAAAAGCTGATAGCAAATATATGCTGTATTAAGCCACTAATACCTGCAAATTATAAATAATTTTTATATAGTCTGTGTTTGGAGGTTGGGCTTAATTTTTTCAAAGGTTAATCATGGAATCTGTAAAAGAATGGTTTATAATTTAGATTTCCATTCCCTAGGTTTTATTAGTTCCAGCTCTCTGAGTTTAAAATTGCCTATATTGGAAAAGAAATCAAATACGTGATTACCTGTATAGAAAATAATTTAATGGAACTACTAAATGATAACTAAATTATAATTTTAGACATTAGGCACACTGGAAAATCTTTATGGTTTGCTGACTTAATCTGTATTATCCATGTTGTCACAATGTCAATAAACCTTCACTTTTTAATTAAAAACTTTTTTTTTTTTTAAGAGATGGGGTCTTGTTATATTGCCCAGGCTGGAGTGCAGTGGCTATTCACAGGTGGGGGATCATAGTGCACTGTATCCTCCAGCTCCTAGGCTCAAATGATCTTCTAGCCTCAGCCACCCAAGCAATAAATCTTCACTTTTAACAGGTGAAGACTGAGGGTTATTTCTGTGAACATACTTTCTAACTAGGTCAAGTTCAGTATTATTGATTCAGGGAAACCAGTTTTTAAAGAGAAGCAGCATCCACAGAGCAGCTTCTAATTTGTCCTGTGGCTAATCTTGAGGAAAGGGGGGGTTGTAATTGATGTTAAAGACATGGACTACAATATACCTACGTGAATAGTTTTTAGATTTGGTGATGGGTATGCAATATTTGACATGGGTGAGTCACATCATTTTATTTTTTTACCTTCTTCTTCCCTTATGTTTATTGCTTCATATTATTAAAGAACTGCTTGTCCACTTCATTAACATTTTAATCATGAAAGCCAAAGAAAGCATTCTACTACAGGATATATCTCCATGTATGTTGGTTTTATTTAATATTCTTCTTGTTTTTTTCAATAATTAATGTACAAATAAAGAAAAAATAAATTGCACTTAAAAACCAAATAAACTCCACAACTCAACAGCAAATAAAGGATTATGCTGAAATATGAGCTTTGACAACACCAAAACCATGAGTAAAAATATAACTTATATTCATTTTTAGCTGTATAATTATAAAAGTAACTACTTGTAACTACTTTTATAATTAATTTTTGACATTGGTGTCATGTGATATATACAAAAGAATAGAAATGACAGCTATAATCAGCTATGCATTTTGTATACTTTTTTCTTTTCTAAAGTGAGTTTGAAATGGCTGAATATATAGTTTTTTACTGTGATCTCATAGGACAAAATTGTTAGTGTCTCTCTAAGATACCCAAATATTCCAAAAGAACATGAAGCATACCAGTGTGTTTCTTCTCTCTAGTCTTTGTTAGGGGGATGTTTAATGTCCCTGAGAAGCCTTGAAGATGCTCATCAGTTTCTCTCTATTTTATCGCCTACTAAAAAAAATCCTTTGTTATGACTATCCTCTAGTTAAAGAAGAGAAGATGGGGCTTCTTATTTTAATTGGTCAGTGGGGAAATCCCTGCCACGTGACAAATCATGTTCTTTTCATTGCTGAACACGGTTTTTGCTTTTCTGTGTTTTCAGACCTCACAGTCTGGAGTATGAGGTGTTTTATGTAGGACACAGCGGTAGGAAAGAGCTTCTAATAGTCTACTGGGTAGGGCATAGATTTAATTTCTATTAATTTTTCTAGATATCATCTTGGGAGCCAGAAAGCCAGACACTTAGTCTCTTAAATGTGTATAGGATATAATGTGTGCGTATGAAATATTTCTACCTCCCCAAATGTTCATCCAAAATAATTATAAAAAAAAGAAAAGAGGAGAGACAGAACTAACTATATGGAATGGAAAGATCTAGAAGACTTCTAAGTAAAGTGAAATGATATTATGGGATGCCAATGTGATAATTTACCTCAGCTAATGAAGTCGAAACTAAAATTGAATTGTATATTCAACAGAGGGCCCAGTCCTTTTTAAATAAATGTATTTCAGAGTATAAGTCAGTCAGCTTAAGGAGCTACTACCAATATAACCTGAGACTAGATAAGAGTTGCAATATTAGCTATTTGCTCTCCTTAGCTTTATTTAAGAAGAAAATCTTCCACTGATATTTTGTTGTCAACTATGTAATGGCAACAAAGGGTTTTCTTCCTCTTAATAAGTCTGAGCATGATTATCTACTGTTTTTAATACTTCAATATTAAGTTAAATGTAATATTTTTATAGCTATGTAAATGAATTCCTATATTTTGGTAACAGTTACTAATTTTGGTAATTGAAAAACATATTTTAACATAAAAACATATATAAATCAAGATTTAACCTTCTAGGTTTGCTAAACTCTTGTTCGTGACTATAACATTCAGAGTCAATTTAAAATAGATATAATTTATTGTTATTTGTTTTTTTTCCAGCAGAAGATTAGTTGTTTCCAGCATATTTTTGGTAATTACACATATATTTCAAAAGTTTATTTTCATGTTTTCTTTCTATGTGGTAAAATTCTCTTTTAAGTTTTCCTAGTATTATTTTTGGAGAAAATATACTCTCTAAACTTGTCCTATGCAGATATAAATTTTAATGTCCTTGATACATAATACATTCTCAACAGAAAGTCACACAGACAATGTACAAGAAAAAAGGCAGTCTTTCCCCCCCTCAAGACTGTAAAGTATTTCTGTCAGATAGTAAAAACGTAAAGTTAGAATTTATTGGACAGAGGATGGAGGGCAACCTGTTGTTATGTTGGTATTCTCACAATTTTTCCATTTAAAAATATACAGATTTAATGTGGCATTTATAAAGGAAAACATCATCCTCGCTGTATGAAGTCATGAATACCATTTTATAGAGTGTGTTATGGGGAATTGTGGTTTGAATTTTGAATTAATACAGAAAAACTAAGGATACCAACATAAAGCAGTCTTATGTTTATGCAGACTTATTTACCCAAAATGTGGCCCTTATCTGAGGTAATATTTACACAGCATAAGCAATCTGAAGAAAATTTCTTTTCTGAAAGATCTTCATAAAACAGTGCCCTAAGAGACAACTGTTAAACTACAAGCACTGTTTACTTTTAACTCTCTTTCTTATTAACTCCCTCCCCAACACTGCTTAGCATTCCAGAGAAGGCTAGAAAAATATTTATTCTGGTCTCATTTTTATTTAGATTACTATAAAATTATCCATTTATAGAAGTAGGTAATGTATTCTTTGACTCTTTTTAGTATGTAATTCTGGTCGTAACTTACTTTCAGGAATTTAGAAAGGAGATGTTACATAAGGCCACTCAAAAGTAATACTATATACTCTGTATTAGCTATGTGACAAATGGAAGAAAATGACCACAGATGTTTGTTACTAATAATATTAACGCTCTTGATTTCAAGAAATATTTAAAATACATGAAATAAATATAAAAGTCCAAGGACTTACATGCAATAAAAGCATATGCTGCATGTGCCCCTAAAGTTGTGTGTCATACTGTTGGAAAACTTTTAAGTTTAGAGACTGTCTAAAAAGTCAGGCAAAATTATATTTGCTAGTGTGATTATAGATTTTAAATGTGATAAAATGACACAGGCCAATAGAAATTGGCAAAATATAGTTTTCATGGGGCTATAACAGTCGTAACAATAAAATTACTCATTTTCTAAATTGAAAATCTCTATTCATACCCAAAATAAATTGGAATTATTTTGAATGATAATTTTTTTTAAGGAAGATAGGGAAAATACCGTAGTAGCTGTTGAAATTTCAGGCATGTGTAAAAAAGCATTTTCATTGTAATGCTAAAAAGAGATATGTATTACACTATAAACACTGGTTTCAATTTGGGTACATTTTAATTTTAGGCAAAGTTTTCAAAATATGCACAAAAGCTTCTTATTGCAGATAGGAAATAGCAACTAAAAATGGGGTTATTCTTGGAAGGATGATGATCAGAGGACACCTACCAGGCAATGTGGACTTAAAAGTAATAAAATTGATGTTTAAAGCCATAAAGATTTTTACTCTACAAAACAAAATGTTGCACATATAGGTTAAGACACTGGTGTTATATGCAAGATATTGATTTAGATTTGACAGAAATGTCATACTCTCTATTTAGTTTAGAGTTTTAAAAGTCAATAAACTAGAAATAATATAGTCCTTAAGTACTTTAAAAGGACCTTAGGGGAAGAAAAGATACAGATATTAAATGAGTAATCAGTTAAAATTTAGCAAAGCAGCCTAATTTAGACTTCTCTAAATTCATGGATAGTCTTCTGGCTTTAAAGACGGTTTGATTATTTTTATGTGCACAGCCAGGCAAACCAAGTAAACCAAATGTTGTCTTTTTAAAGTTACTTTAATTACTAGCTAAGAATCATTTGCAATTAGTAGAGTGTACAAACAACAATACTTGCTCTTGCTTACATAGCAATTACTTGTGTGTAAATAGAGACCTGAAAATTTGTAAAATAATGCTTTTCTCTAAGAATGAAAATTTTTTATTTGGAATTAATATAGAGTTATCTTTGTTTATAAATAGTGAAAGGTAATTTCACCCAACATCTTACTGAATTAAAATAAATTCTGTATAAATCATCTTTGAACTAATGCATTTCTAAATAAAAGCAATTTATGTATTGCTTGTTCAATGTATTCTTTTGAAGGCATTTTATTTCTTCACACTCTTGCTTCCATGATTCCTATATTGACCTCATCTTATACAATAGGAAGTCCATGTACAAACAAATCCCTATTAATATCCAAAATAGATTGGAGATAATTTGTTTTTAAAAGAGATTCTTCACTTTGAAAAGATTCACACTGGAATTACTTTGAATAATAATATACCCCTGATTTCATTAAAACACACACATTTTAGCTCATGCATTTTTAAGATTATAAGTTATTTTCAAGATCATTTAAAACAGTACTTTTCAAAGTTTAATAATGCATATACAAATCACCTGGAGGATATTGTTAAAATGCAGAAATAATTGAGGAACTCTGGATGGGGCCTAAGATTCTGCATTTCTAATAAGTTCCCAGGTGCTGATAATCTCAGGGCCATACTTTGAGCTACAGGGACCTAAAACATCTATCTAAATGCTGTTGATTCTTGGATGACCTGACCTTTGTAAAGTTTTTTTTTTTTTAATTTATATAAGGGTATGGGGCACAGGTAAAATTTTGTTGCATGCCTAGATTGCATGGGGGCCAAGTCAAGGCTTTAGGGTAGCCACCACCCAAATAATGTGCATTGTACCCATTAAGTAATTCTCATGCGGCAAGATACACCTTGCATGTCTGTAACAGCAGATTTTTTTCTACATTAATATTTCCTGAAAGGCTCAGAAGAAGGAAACCAACTGTGTTACTACCTGGATTTAAACAGACTTAGTTTTCATAGGCTCAAACTATTTCTGTATTCTAAGAAAAATTTGTCCTGATTTGTGAACTCAGTTAAGAGATTTCAAATCTCTGAGTTTTAGATTTCGCATGTGGGAAATGAAGAATGGAATGAATACAAGGCTGAACCTGTAATAGATACACAAATATATTTGTTGCATGAATGAAATAATCACTCTCAGCTTTATATTTTCTGGTTTTAGAAATCAAGGGGAGAGTGCTTTTCTTGAACAATGAAACATATGTCTAGGTCACATTAATAAAAAGTGATCACATTTGCATTTTAAAAACACTAGACAGTATCCTGGGCAAGGTGGCTCATAGCTGTAACCCCAGTAGTTTTGGAGGCTGAGGCAGGCGGATCATTGAGGTCAGGAGTTCGAGAGCAGCCTGGCCAACATGGTGAAACCCGCCCCCCTCCACTAAAAATACAAAAATTAGCTGGGCGTGGTGATGCATGCCTGTAGGCGCAGCTACTCTGGAGGCTGAGAGAGAAAAATCGCTTGAACCCGGGACGTGGAGGTTGCAGTGAGCCGAGATCGCGTCACTGCACTCCAGCGTGGGTGAAAGGGCGACTCTGTCTCAAAACAGCAACAACAACCACAACAACAAAACATTAGGCAGAACATGCAGACAGCAGGTGAAGAGAAACAACTTCGATGAGAATGCATTAAAATTGTATTTTCAATTTACAGCACTCTCTGGGCTCTTCGGTATCTAACTGTTCTGAAGATGGCCACAAAGAGGACATAGGTTGACCTTTTCCTAACCAAC
This sequence comes from Homo sapiens, assembly GCF_000001405.40. Lineage (NCBI taxonomy): Eukaryota > Metazoa > Chordata > Mammalia > Primates > Hominidae > Homo > Homo sapiens. Next base: position 117,353 of record NT_187628.1, on the reverse strand, counting down.
TTATCTCAGGAAAAATATACATTCTCTCTCCTGGTCTACTTGAAAGACTTTTTTTTTTTTTTTTTTTTAGCTGAAAGAAGGTTTCCAAGCCCTTTATTTCAATAAATCTTTCCTGATTAATTTAGGAAGCACAAAGGAAGTATCTGACTCCTGTAGATACCACACTTCCCTATCCCTCACCATGTATTTATTCTTATATTTGACTCTTTTATTTTTTTAGTAAGTACTTTTAAATTTTATATAAAACTTGTTATAGGCTCTCTAATTACAGACTACAATGACTCAACCAAAAAGTGGTGAACATGATTTTAAAAAATGGCACAAGCTATTTGAAATGGTAAGATCCAAGACATAGGTTCGTGCTAACCATGACTAAAAATAGGTTGTTCTTTCTTTCCAGACCAACACTATGACTCTGTATCTTTATACCTTCAACTTATGTTCACAAGAAACTTCTGAGTTATCTAACTTGAGAGCTTCTGAGGACATTTTTAGGCTGACTTCTTTTGTGTGGCTACATTAGTAGGGTAAACAGTGTGGGAAGGAAAGGTGTCAGCAGAGCAAAGTCATCAGTCATGGAAAGTAATACCATATGCTTGTCTTTTTTCTAACTGGCCAGAGCCAAGTCACGAAATATGGATACACCATCTTTTGCAGGTTTAACCTGGCAAGCAGTGAAATCATGTGGAAGGCTTCTCTTGGGTTTTCACAAATCAGAGTTTAGATTTAAGGGAATCATATAAAGAAAAAGTTTGCTCAGGGTGGTAATCCAAAGAGTAGGAACCCATAAGAACATACTATTTGTTAAAAGACGACTGAACTCTCTCTGTTATTAAATGGCCATCTTTTGAGCCTCCCCAAGAGCCTTCCCACCTTTCTAACTGCCTTCTTTCCCATGCCCCAGTTACTTACCTAGTTGTGAAATATTTTTTAATGTCACCTTTGACTTTTCCCAACTTAAATTGCATCTATTTTCATATTCTAGAAAAAAGAAAATAGCATTTGAAAAAGGAAAAGATGATCAAGCACTTTCAAAGACAAAAAATACAATGCATCTATAAAGGCAAATGTAAGTTAACCAGCTGTGTGCAGGACACTAAGATTTCTCTTTGGCTGCTTCTATCAGTGAAAGTAGACTACTAGAAAATATTGGCATCAGGAATCTCCTCATCAATCTAGAACAGGAGAATCTTTGAAATGCAGAGAAAAGACTACATGAGGCTACTCCCCTACCTGCCAAATCTTTGAGGTCCTCTTTAGAAAGATGATTCTAGCATTGGAATAATAGCATTGTGGTATGGCTTTAAAAAATTCACAGAATAATCTTAGTCAAACTTGTTCAAGTACAATGTCACTCTTGGGATATGTTAAATTAGAACTTGTTTACGTGGTGTTATTTTAAGGGTCGATTCTCTAAATATCTCCTCAACCAAGTGCCATGATCTTTAGAAACTAATTTCTGTGAATTTTTATTTTCTTTTTCAGTTAGTGGGTTTTAATTTTCAGTGCAATGCTTTTCAGAACCTTAGCAGCTGTGGCCCACAAGTCTGGCTAAGTCTGGCTAAGTCTGGCTCTCAATGTTTTCTCCAACTGTTAGGCGGCATTGAGTGACTAAATCTGATGAACAGGGAAGACTTCTGACAGACACTGAATTGGGAGAAGGAGCCTTCCTGCTCCGAGACCAGTGACATGTACTTGGAAATGATGGTAAGAAAAGGGTGTGTAATTACAATGATGAAGGGAGTCATCACCTCTGGGGACACCTGCAAATCCCTGCCTACTAAAGGAGAAGCTCAACTCAGACAAATCCAGATACATTTTTATGTGTATGTTTCTTTCTTAAACTTGAAGAGAGAATTAAAATATAATTATTAATTTGAAAAGTAATTAATATTGGTAGCTCTCATTAAGAGTAACATACGCTATATTCCCAAGATTGACAATACTGAGTGATTTAGGAAATGATTTATTTCCAAAATCTCTGTGGCATTTGACAGAGTTGATCACACTGTTCTTAATGAAAATTTTTTCTCTTCTGATTTTTTTTTTATATTATCTTGGCTCTTTGGGTATCTCTGACAACTAGTTTCATATTTATGTCCCTTACTGTCTCCTTTTGTTGCGTTTTTTTCTTCTTCCCCAAATGCTCCAGATTTCTATCCTCATACCACCACCCCACCCCATGCACAATTTGTTTTTATCCAATTCTCACCATTAAGATTGTAGCAGCTTTTATTGCTTCATGCAAATAACTCCGAGATCTACAGCTCCGCTCCAAAGCTCTGGCTACCCATTTCCAACTGCCTGCTAGACATCATTATTTGCATGTTCCACAGTTTCTTTAAACTAAAAATTTCTCAAAACAGATTTATCACCTTCCTCCACAAAACAACTCATTATTCCTAAATATCCAATTTCTGCCAGATATAACACTTTTCTTCCATTGACTCAGCCTGAGAAATATGGGGTTTTGTTGGAGTCCTTCATCTCTGCCTAATTAGATATCTCTTCTTCCTTTCCATCTTTTAAGTTCTGCCTGTCTCGGCTTTAGTTCACAGTCTCAAGACTCCTTCCACACTTAATTCAAGTGCTATTGTAAGGTATACTTGTGTACTTGTGTATCCACATCAAAGGATTTAGAACTTACAAAGCAAAAATTGTGACTTTCTACTTTTTAAGCTTGGGGCACATAACACAGTATTTCAAGCATAGCAGATATAAAATAGATAGTTGTTACATTATAAATCCATATTATGGGAGTAGTAAAAATAATAAAACATAAAAACAATGCCCAAACATGATCATTAAAACAAAATGCTAAAACATAGCAAATACTATTTTACTGATTTGATTTGGAAAAGAGCCTTGACTAGTCAACGTAAGTTCAAATTTAAAGTGGAATTTCTTTAAATTATTTGTCCTATATTGTGACAAATCCTGTCTCACAAGATTGACTTTAATAATTTAAATGTTTCTTTGGATTTTAGATTTGAAAGCTAAGTGTATGTAGGTGGAAAAAGATGACTCTGACTTGAGTTGATAGGATTAGGAAACACCCCAGCTGAGTAAGCTTTTGTGGCTGTGATTCACCTAAAATGCAAAGGGTAGAGAGTTGTATAACTAATGTTAGAGACAGAGACCAATTTTAAATACAGGAGAGAGATTTAGACTACTAAATACCACCTTGCTTATGCAGCCAGAGATAATTTCACTTGTCTTAGAAACAAGAATTGAAAGTGGCATTAGTTTTAAAGCATCCAGTGAAACTAGCATAATGACCACATATCTTTATTCTCCGTCTAAATGAAAATCACATGACAAAACTGAAATGGGCAAAAGTGGATAGAAAGGCCTTTGGGTATTATAATTGCCAAGATATGGACTTATTAATATTCTAGTCAGCTTATGCTTCTGGCAGTTTCTTATTGTCAGCCCCTGTTTTCCCTAGTATGGATTATTTGGAGTTTGGGAGTCCAGCACCTTCAGATCCAGCATTATCCAGTTATGGAGCCAATTCTGAACCAGGCTGGCAGAACATTCATAGACCCATAATCATCCATAGGTGAGAATTAGGCTTAGTCTCTCTTGTGTCATCTCCCTTGTTGTTATCCCTTTACTGTCTTCACTTTGCTTCCTATCTGGCTTAGATTCCATGCATTAGTAATTTTTTTTGAATAAAAATTTTCCACCTCAGGGATAAATGGTGATTGAAAGTAAAATCAAGTTCAGTTAGAGAAAAATAGAATGTTATATTGCTTTTCATAAATTACGTATCTACGCCAGTTTCAATACCTCTCTAAAAATAGGCAAAATTGCCTTGCCCTTCTGTCTTTCATCACTTCTCTCTGGCAAAGTACCAGCCCTTCATCACCTGAAATACCTGGTTTCTCTAAGAATGTGCATAAGCAAACGAGCACTCATAGAGAAAATAATGAACTCAGCATAGTGCTTTCAACTTCCATTCATTAGTTCCTTACTTGGACCTTAATATTGACCAGTGAGCCTGCTACACTTTACTGGTCAACCCTCTCCCATTCTGTGCAAAAAATATTTCACAACTTTTCTACTCTCCTCAAACTTCTGCATGTAACTTTGTTACATTCTTCACAGAGTATATAAAAACCACTGGGTGAGTCTTCTCAACTTTTTGTCACCAAATCTATTCATGTACTCATAGACGGATGTATCTACCTTCATTTTGTCTTCAGTTCTCTTGTACAAGATAGTACTATTCTTCTTTCTAGCTAAGGTCCAGTCTTCCATCTCTTGCTTCTGATTATATTCCTGCTATCCTTCTCAGGAAACTTATTAGCTTACCTTCTCTTTCCCCAGTCACTAAACCAGGATTCCTCTACTCAATCATTTCCATGTACATTTAAATGTGTTTAAGTATCTCTTATCTTAAAATAAAAATGTCAAAGACTGCAAGTAGTATGTACTCCACTTTCAAACTATAGCCCTATTTCTATTCTCCTCCTTGAAGCCAAATATCTTGAGAGAGTTAGTATTTGTTGTCTTGTATTTCTCACTGCTTACTCATTCTCAGCCTACTTCACCTACACCAATTATTCCAGTAAAATTTTCTTTTATTTTCTTGTTTTTGAGACAAAGTCTCACTCTATCGTCCAGGCTGGAGTGCAGTGGTGCTATCTCGGCTCACTGCAACCTCAACCACCCGGTGGATCAAGTGATCCTCCCACCTCAGCTCCCCGAGTAGATGAGACTATGCGTGCATGCCACAATACCTGGCTGATTTTTTGTTTGTTTGTTTGTTTTATAGAGATGGGGTTTTGTCATGTTGCCCAGGTTGGTCTCGAACTCCTGAGCTCAAGGGATCCACCTGCCCAGGTCTCCCAAAGTGCTGAGATTATAGGTGTGAGCCACTGCGCCTGGCCACTCCAGTAAAATTTTCTTAGTTAATGTGAACAATGACCTTCATGTTGCTAAATCCCATGATTATTTTCAATTCTTATTTTACTTTGACTCCTCAAAGAAATTTGATGATCTGACAATCTTAACTACTCCCTTCTTCTAACATTGTGCTTTATTATTTCTTTCATCACTTGTTTATTCATATGAATGTCATATATGTTCAGCATAACTATGGTCATAGGCTACAAGGTATTATTAAATGGAAGGAAAAAATCACCTGTTCACAGTCCCACTCTATAGGGTAACTACTTATTTCTGTTTTTAGGTGTTGTAGTGGTTACTATCATAATTTTCAGCAGTGTACTTATACCTCTATTTCTTGATATGTTAACTTTATAAGAGTAGTAATAGATTTCATGGTATAAAAGATGGTAAATTTATCTAATTTATACTTCCCCATTCCTCCCCCAAGTTTTGTTGATTACATTTGTAACAGGATGTTGAATGAAAGCTTCTCCTTTGACCCAAGGCTCAGAGCTTGCTAAAGAAGGGGCTTGAGATAAAGGGAGATGTTTGAATTGGATACAAATTTGAAATTCTGATTTAGACAAAAGTATACCTTTTCAACATAAGTCTTTTATTACAAAATTACGTTTGTTTCTGTAAGTGAAAGTGACCAGAGAGCCAAAGGATGTGCTCAGATATTAGTAATGGAAGGAAAGAGAAACCTCAGAGTATGACTGAAGGCAACTTTCAGAGGAAAATCATTCCTGTTTGATTCTGGATCAAACAGGAATCAGAATCTTTAATTTACCTATTATATATTATGTTTGTTTTTCTATTGGTAGCATTTATAACTCGAGATACAAAATGTAAATTTTTAGTTCTTTTTTTCATTTAGAAAGAGAAAATTGATACTTTTTGGCATGCTTCTCACAAGTCTCCACTTCTAAACTCCTGTCAACTACATCTTCACTCTCAAAGTATAAAGTTTACATTTTATTGTGCAAATATAATCATTTTAGGCACTTTGTACACTGATTCTGAATACTGAAAGCAAAGAGTTTTGCAATACTTTGAAAATGTAAGTGTTATTTACTATAAAATCAGGTAGTGTAATTGGATTTACAGCTAATAAATATAATTCTAAGTCATTGAAATAATCCTCCTTTATATAGATTGTTTCAAATATCAAGATTAAATGGATTGTCTTTCTATCATTTTCTCAAAATGATGCTTAATTTTAGTTTATTTTATATTTGAACCATGAATTACTTGTATAGCATTCTACAAAGCTGGAGGCATCATGCTACCTGGCTACAAACTATACTACAATTCTACAATAACCAAAACAGCATGGTACTGGAACCAAAACAGCATGGTACTGGTACCAAAACAGATATATAGACCAATGGAACAGGACAGAGCCCTCAGAAATAACACCACACATCTACAACCACCTGATCTTTGACAAACCTGACAAAAACAAGCAATGGGGAAAGGATTCCCTATTTAATAAATGGTGTTGGGAAAACTGGCTAGCCATATGCAGAAAACTAAAACTGGAGTTTCTAATTGACTTCTACGTTGTTTTACTTATCACTTAATTAAGATCTTTTAGATTCTTGACATATAATCTGTTATGATTTCTGTTTCATTCTTTGTCCTAAAGACATTTTTTTCTGGAGTTCTCCTATTTGCTTTTCTAATTGGTATCCGTTGGTTTCAAGTCTATTTCATAGCCATAATATTGGGTCTCCTTTTTACTGAGCTCCCGTGTTGTTCTAGAATTTTTTGGACCACTTGTCTTTTACTTTTTGATATTTTCTTATTTATTTTGCTAGAGTGGATCCTCAAGTAATTTTTAGGAAGAGTGTGTAGGTATGTTTACAATCTCCTATTTATCTGAGCCTTCATGAAAATACATGTACTTTTTTTTTTCTTAGCTTAATTCTGCCTGCTTAGGACTTAATAGGCACTTTTCATTTTGGAGACTTGTTTTTCCTTAGCTTTCAAAGAATTTTTCTGTGTTTTTTTTTTTTTTTTTTTTGATGTTTTTCTTTCATTTTGTCTTCTCTGTTCCTTCTTCTATTATTCCATTAGATGAATGTTGGATGCCCAGAATGAACCCTATATAACATTTCAATTTTGTTTTATATTAGGTGTTTTTCTTTTTTTTTTAATTTCACACTTTTCAATGTGAATTCAAATTTTCTTCTAGGTCATCTGATATTCATCCCACACCGATTTTATTCCCAGTTCTTCAGGCATCACAACTAGTAGGCACTTAATGCATGAGTTAAGGAAGCTGGAAATTTACTCTTTGTGCATACTTGGAACCATAGTGCATGGAAAAATGCCCACAGGTTACATTATTAGAATTAAAAATTCAGTGATTAAGTGCCAATTATGAGTCAGGCATTGTTATTGGATCTGGGGATACACTCGTGAATGGAACAGGACTTCTTATTTTATTTATTTATTTTTGAGATGGTGTCTTGCTGCCACTGCCCAGGCTGGAGTGCAGTGGCACAATCTCGGCTCACTGCAACCTCTGCCTCCCAGGTTCCAGCGATTCTCATGCCTCAGCCTCCTGAGTTGCTAGGATTACAGGCATGCGCCACCATGCCCGGATTCCCTGTTCTTATAAACTTAAATTCTCTGGAGTGCATAGAGGGAAGGAAAAAATAAACAAATAAATAGAAAATATGTATGAACATGCATACATATATTCAAAAATAGATGCATGAAAAATTAATTGTATAAATAAATAAATAAGGAAAGTATCACATTGTGGATAATGCCGTGCAGAGAATTAAAACAGTGATATGCTGCAGATTGGTTAGGTAGTCACCTTTAGATTGGGTTGTCAGGTACAGCCCGTTTGAAGAGGTGACATTTAAGTTGAAATTTGAAGGGATAAGCACAGAAGGGTATTTGAGGCAGATGGGACAGCTTGTGCAAAGCCCAAATGTAGAAACAGAAAGAAGGCCAGGGTAGTCAATGTGTGGTGCATGCAAGAGAGTAGAATGATTGAGATTAGAAACAAAGACAGACTTCTGGGGGCTTTGTAAGTCAGAGAAGAAATTTGAATTTTCTTTCAAGTGTTATCGTAAATCATGAGGAGATTTTTAAGTAGGGAAGTAGTACCATCTGATTTGCCTTTTAGGATGATTTCTCCCATCACTGTAGAAAGAAGATACTGTAGTGGCACTGAAGTGGAAGCAGGAGGACCAGTGTAAGAAGGCTACCATTGTAGTCCAGATAAGACATGATTGTGACTTTGACCAGCCCTAATAGTAGAGGTGGAAATAAGTGGATCCAGTGAAATTGCAGAGTCAATGTGTACATGTTTTTTTGATTTTGCAAGTTGTTCTCCAAAAAGATTTTACTAATTGATACTCCTCCAATGGTGTATGAGAGTATAGGATAATAATAATGTGAAGCTAGAAATTGTCTTAGAAATCTACACATTAGTTTTACAAAGGATGAAGACAAGATCCACTGATCTTATATGCATTAGTCTAAGATGACAAGTTCTTTCGCTGGGAAGGGACCCCAGGCATCTGCCAAGTTCTGGTGATCTATTATATACCACAATATTTTCTCAGGATTTCTCTTCTCTATGTGGCTTATTCTTTTTTGACACTCTGCTACAGCACCTCTCCATGTTCTGGATGCACAGATATGTACTGTATTTCTTCCTTTAGATTAGGAGCTCTGAGGGGAGGCAGTACCTGTCAGCCTGTGTTATAGTGCACAGGAAGACTGGCACTTAAGAATCATCAATGACTGCAAAAGCAAATCACTGAAAAAAAGAAACCAATCATTCATTATGTTATTTTTTTCTGCCACAATTTGGTCACTGAGACTGGTGAGTCCCAATAGCCCTATCATAGTTATTCAATATGTATACTCACATTTCAGGTACTATTAGGTAAAGAATCCAGATACTCTTTTCCAGTTATATATAATAGAAAGGATTTGAAATTCAGATTCAGAAACCTTGAATTCAAGTTCTGGCTTTGATCCTTTCTGACAGCATGTCCTTGGGCCTTTGTTTTCTCAGCTCTAAACCAGACTAATAATATGTATGTGTCCTTCCTAAGTCACAAGATTTTACAAGATTCTGAATGTTACATGTGAAAAGAACTTGTAAACTACGAAGTACAAACAAGTGCTACTATTTTGCAAGTATAGTTGATTGAGCTCTAACTATGTTATGGGTCAACATCATAATACAGACTAGCACACATTTTATTACATAATTATTCTATCAGAAAATATTTTTTATTAGCTGGGCTCTATTTTTTTCAGAAAAAACTTTTAACATGCCAAAGAGATTCATTTTTTATCAAATTGATAAACAGTTATTTTCCTTAGCATATGTGGATATGCAAATATATCTAGGATTTCGATTATGCTTGAAGACCTTAGCTAATGCAGAGAAAACATTGTTACATGTAATAGATCACCAGAACTTGGCAGATGCCTAAGGTCCCTTCGCAGGGAAAGGACTTCTCATCTTGGACTAATGCATGTAAGATCAGTATGCCTTATTTCAATCCTTTATAAAACTAGGGTATATTTCTGAATTGAAAAACTACAAGCACATTGACCAAGCAATTTCACTGGATCACTTTTATTTTTGATTTAATGGACAGAGTGACTTTCACTTGAACAATACTAAAATAAACAGTATGCATAGATGGGTTTACTAACTATACATTTTATTAATTATAGTACCATGGAAACTGGATTTTTACAGCTTGATAGAATATTCCATCTTACCTGCTAAATGGATGTATGATTTTTGGAATATTAAAATAATTTTCTTCAGTTCTACATTATACAAATTCAACCTTTTCTTGCACGATTATTTTTCTGTGACACAATGGATGATTATGCAAAGCCATTTATGTAAGTGAATTGCTCAGTGATATTACCAGCCAAAATTGTAGGTTGAGGTCAAGTGATGTCAAGTCATTATTTAAAGAAACAAAGACAAAGGGAATAAGACAAATCGTAGAGGAGAAATTTAATACATTTTGGCAACATGAGTAGGAAGGTCAGCAAAGGACAAGAAGCTCGAGTGATGTCATAATTGGCTTCAGTTCAGAAGTGGCAGAGTGGCAGTTAGCCAAAAAGGCACTTTGATATTGTTTGTTTATATATTGCTATTTAGCAATCCATATCCAGAAATGGAGATTACTGCACATAATTTTATGGTGGATGACTGAATATTGTGGTCACTGCTTTATTTTAAACTTTGTTTCTAAAATGTAATGATCATATCTTACTGTGAGCTCTCACTTTTAGGATGCATTTTCTCCATGCATGCAGCTCTGCAGGACCCTCTACAATCTGAACAGATTCAACTGCTGCAGATATAGTTGTGTGATGTGGTGATATGGATATAGGTTTTGAGTTCAGATAAAGCATCTAAGACAGAGTCTCATGATCTTTTAAAATTATAAATAATCATATTCCTGCAGCTTTCTGTCCTGTTTCACGGGTAGTACTTATGCTATTCCTCTAAAGAGGGAGAAAGGAATTGGCTGAAAGGATGTTTTCCTTTTTCAGATTCTCATTAGCTTGCATTGTGTAGTTTATTCTTCTGCAGAGTGTGGCCACCTGAATAGATCTTACTCTGTCAGCTACAAAACATGTATTTAGTAACTGATGGATTTTTATTAGAGGTTTTAGATGACATTTTGGTTATATGTAGATATTATAGGGCACACTTGTCCAATAAGAATGTAATGGAAGCCACAACCATGATACATATATTATTTTAAAGTTTCAAATCACCACATCAAAAAAGTTAAAATTAATAATATATTTTCTTTAACACACTATATCCAAGCCATTACATTTAAATATGTAGTTGAAAATAGCCCTGATGCTGCAATAGCTTGTCTGGAGGCTGCAACTGATACTTATTCTCTTATTTCTCTTCTACCCATTCAAGATTCTCTTCACTCTTGGTTAGCACCTTTGCTAGCCTAGGTGGCTAATCCAGTGGGTGATCTTGACCCTCACCCCTGTGGGCTATGAGCTGCTGGTTATCATTTTCTTCTTAGGCTATCCAGCAGCCTAACTACTTATTGTCATATCTGGACAGAAGTATCCACTTTGTCTTTCCCGTGATATCTCTTGCCTCCAAATGCCAAGCAAAAATCCTGGGGTTGGGAAGATGTCAGACAACTACTAAATATGTCTCTTCCAATAGAATGTGAAAGATAGAGGAAGGACTTACTGGGTTGTTCCATGCCCTGTTGCATCCATTGTAAACTAGACCAAATGAATATATTTATTACCATCTACCTCCACTCTGACATGGAGTTCTGAATAATTTTGAGTTTCTGTATAATCAATGTGACCTTAAAATTTTTGTGTATTCTCTATCTCCAGTTTATGATTACCTGAGTAAATGGTCATAGGTTTCTGTGAAGAAGGACTGGTTGAATCATCACCATATAATGTTGCCCACTCATTGTATAATGATTATTCATGGATTTGGCCTCTTCTTCAGTCACCAGATGCTCCAAGCAAAGGTTGAGATGAATCTTCAGAGGGAGATGTGCTATCTTGAAAGGCAGAAGTCTCTGCATCATCTTCAAGTAAAGGGGTGTATTCATGCTGCTGATAAAGACAAACCCAAGACTAGGCTATTTACAAAAGAAAGAGGTTTAATGGACTACCAGTTCCATGTGGCTGAGGAGGCCTCACAATCATGGTGGATGGCAAGGAGGATTAAGTCACATCTTACATGGATGGCAGCAGGCAAAAAGAGAGAGCTTGTATGGGGAAACTCCTGTTTTTAAAACCATCAGCTTGCATGAGACTTATTCAGCACCATAAGAACAGCACAGGAAAGACCCGCCCCCATGATTCAATTACCTTCCACAACACATGGGAATTGTGAGAGGTACAATTCAAGATGAGATTTGGGTGGGGGCAATGTCAAACCATATCATTCCATTCCTGACCCTTCTCAAATCTCATGTCCTCACATTTCAGAACTGATCATGCCCTCCCAACAGTTCCCCAAAGTCTCAACTCATTTCAGCATTAACTCAGAAGTCCACAGTCCAAAGTCTCATCTGAGACAAGGCAAGTCCCTTTTGTCTATGAGCCTGTAAAATCAAAAGCAAGTTAGCTACTTCTTAGATACAATGGGAGTAGAGGCATTGAGTAAATACAACCATTCCAAATGGGAGACACTGGCCAAAACAAAGGGGTTATGGGCCCCATGCAAGTCCAAAATCCAGCAGGGCAGTCAAATCTTAAAGCTCCAAAATGATCTCCTTTGACTCCATGTCTCACATCCAGGTCATGCTGATGCAAGTGGTGGGTTCCCACGGCCTTGAGCAGCTCCATTCCTGTGGCTTTGCAGGTACAGCCTCCTTCCAGGCTGATTTCATGGGTTGGCATTGAGTCTCTGTGGCTTTTCCAGGTGCACGGTGCAAGCTGTTGGTGGATCTACCATTCTAGGGTCTGGAAGATGGTGGCCTTCTTCTCGCAGCTCCACTAGGCAGTGCCCAAGTAGGAGCTCTGTTTGGGGGTTCCGACCCCACATTTACCTTGTGCACTGCCCTAGCAGAGGTTCTCCATGAAAGTGCCACCCCTGCAGCAAACTTCTGCCTGAACATCCAGGCACTTCCATACAACCTCCGAAATTTAGGTGGAGGGTCCCAAAGCCCAATTCTTGACTTCTGTGCACTGGCAGGCTCAACATCATGTATAAGCTGCCAAGTCTTGAGGCTTGCACCCTCTGAAGCTGCAGCTTGAGCTCTACATTGGCCCCTGTCAGCCACGGCTGGAGCAGCTGGGACATAGGGCACCAAGTCCCTATGCTACACACAGCATGGGGACCCTGGGGCCGGAAACAAAACCACCTTTTCCTCCTAGGCCTCTGGGACTGTGATGGGAAGAGCTGCCATGACAGCCTCTGATACTCCCTGGAGATATTTTCCCCATTGTCTTGGAGATTAACATTCGGCTCCGTGTCACTTATGCAAATTTCTGCATCCAGCTTGGATTTCTTCTCAGAAAATGAGATTTTCTTTTCTATCAATTGTCAGGCTGCAAATTTTCCAAACTTTTATGCTCTGTTTCCCTTTTAAAACTGAATGACTTTAACAGCACCCAAGTCACATCTTGAATGCTTTGCTGCTTAGAAATTTCTTCCATCAAATACCCTACATCATCTCTCTCAAGTTCAAATTCCACAAATCTCTAGGGCAGGGGCAAAATGTCACTGGTCTCTTTGATAAAAAATAGCAAGAGTTACCTTTACTCCAGTACCCAACAAGTTTCTCATCTCCATCTGAAATCACCTCAGCCTGAATTTCATTGTCCATATTACTATCAGCATTTTGTTCAAAGCCATTTAACATGTCTCTAGGAAGTTCCAAAGTTTTCCTTATTTTCCTGGATTCTTCTGAGCCCTCCAAACTGTTCCAACCTCTGCCTGTTACCCACTTCCAAATTTGCTTCTACATTTTTGGGTATCTTTTCAGCAGGGCCCCACTCTACTGATACCAATTTACTGTATTAGTCCGTATTCATGCTGCTGATGAAGACATACCCAAGACTGGGCAATTTACAAAAAAAAGAGATTTATTGGATTTACAGTTCCTCATGGGTGGGGAGGCCTCACAATCATGGTGGAAGGCAAGGAGGAGTAAATCATGTCTTACGTGGATGGCAGTAGACAAAAAGAGAGAGCTTTTGCATGGAAACTCCCATATTTAAAATCATCAGCTTGCATGAGACTTATTCAGCACCATGAGAACAGCATAGGAAAGACCCGCCCCCATGATTCAATTACCTCCCACCAGGTTCCTCCTATTACAAGTGGGAATTGTGGGAGTTACAATTCAAGATGAGATTTGGGTGGGGACAAAGCCAAACGAAGGGAGCAGTGTTCATTTTTTACAAGGAAAAACGGATCCTTTCTGGTGGACCCAGAAGGTTTAAGAGAATCCAGGTATTCAAGATTTTATTGTATTTATTTATTTTTCTTGAGACAGAATCTCTCTCTGTCACCCAGGCTAAAGTGCGGTGTTGAAATTATAGTTCACTGCAACCTTCACCTCCTGAGCTCAAATGATTCTTACTCTGTCTTTTGAGTAGTTAGGACTACAGGTGTGCACCATGTTGACCCTGCTATTTCTCTCTCTCTCTCTCTTCTTTTTTTTTTGTAGAGACAAGGTCTCCCTATGTTGCTCAGGGTGGTCTCGAACTCCTGGCCTCAAGTAATCATCCCACATTGGCCTCCTGAAGTGCTAGGATTACAGGTATGAGCCACTAACCCAGCCATATTTAAGATTTTTGAGTCATACACCTGGATATTTTAATTTCATGTGTACTAATCAAAGTTTTGGTCTAGGCATTGCAGACTTGACTATTTTAAAATTTTACTTTCTCTGAAATTCTGCTGACTTTATAATTCAGTTCCTGGAAAGATTGTCAGTTTTATTTTTTTTTTCTTCACCTATAGTATTGCAGAAATTCTGTTTTTTTTTTTTTAATTATTATACTTTAAATTCTGAGGTACCTGTGCGGAATGTGCAAGTTTGTTACACAGGTATACATGTGCCATGGTGGTTTGCTGCACCCATCAAGCCATAATCTATGTTAGGTATTTCTCTTAGTGCTATCCGTCCCCTAGCGCCCCACCCCCTGACAGGCCCCGGTGTGTGATGTTCCCCTCCCTGTGTCCATGTGTTCTCATTGTTCAGCTCCCACTTATGAGTGAGAACATGTGGTGTTTGGTTTTCTGTTCCTGTGTTAGTTTGCTGAGAATGATGGTATCAAGCTTCATCCATGTCCCTGCAAAGGACATGAACTCATCCTGGTTTTATGGCTGCATAGTATTCCATAGTTTATATGTGCCACATTTCCTTTATCCAGTCTATCATTGATGGGCATTTGTGTTGGTTCCAAATATTTGCTATTGTGAACAGTGCTGCAGTAAACATGTGTGTGCATGTGTCTTTATGGTAGAATGATTTATAATCTTTTGGGTATATACCCAGTAATGGGATTGCTGGGTCAGATGGTATTTCTGGTTCTAGATCCTTGAGGAATCGCCACACTGTATTGCACAATGGTTGAACTAATTTACACTCCCACCAACAGTGGTGGGAAAACAGTGTAAAAGCATTCCTATTTCTCCACATCCTCTCCAGCATCTGTTGTTTCCTGACTTTTTAATGATCGCCATTCTAACTGGTGTGAGATGGTATCTCATTGTGGTTTTGATTTGCATTTCTCTAATGACCAGTGATGATAAGCTTTTTTTAAATATGTTTGTTGGTCACATAAATGTCTTCTTTTGAGAAGTGTTTGTTCATATCTTTCACTCACTTTTTGAGGGGGTTGTTTTTTTCTTGTAAATTTGTTTAAGCTCCTTGTAAATTCTGGATATTAACCCTTTGTCAGATGGATAGATTGCAAACATTTTCTTCTATTCTGTAGGTTGTCTGTTCACTCTGATGATAGTTTCTTTTGCTGTGTAGAAGCTGTTTAGTTTAATTAGATCCCATTTGTCAATTTTGGCTTTTGTTGCTATTGTTTTTGGTGTTTTAGTCATGAAGTTTTGCCCATGCCTATGTCCTGAATGGCATTGCCTAGGTTTTCTTCTAGAGTTTTTATGGTTTTTGGTCTTACATTTAAGTCTTTAATCCAACTTGAGTTAATTTTTGTATAAGGTGTAAGGAAGAGGTCCAGTTTCAGTTTCCTGTATATGGCTAGCCAGTTTTCCCAATGCCATTTATTAAATAGGGGATCCTTTCCCCATTGCTTATTTTTGTCAGGGTTATCAAAGATCTGATGGTTGTAGATGTGTGGCATTATTCCTGAGGGCTCTGTTCTGTTCCATCAGTCTATATATCTGTTTTGGTAACAGTACCATGCTGTTTTGGTTACTGTAGCCTTGTAGTATAGTTTGAAGTCAGGTACCATGATGGCTCCACCTTTGTTTTCTTTTGCTTAGGATTGTCTTGGCTATACAGGCTCTTTTTTGGTTCTATATGAAATTTAAAGTAGTTTTTTTTCTAATTCTGTAAAGAAAGTCAGTGGTAGCTTGATGGGGACAGTATTGAATCTATAAATTGTTTTGGGCAGTACAGCCATTTTCAAGATATTAAGTCTTCCTATCCATGAGTATAAAATATTTTTTCATTTGTTTGTGTCCTCTCTTATTTCCTTGAGTAGAGGTTTGCAGTTCTCCTTGAACAGATACTTCACATCCCTTGTAAGTTGTATTCTTAGGTATTTTATTCTCTTAGTAGCAATTGTGAGTGGGAATTCACTCATGATTTGGCTCTCTGTTTTTCTACTATTGGTGTATAGGGATGCTTGTGATTTTTGGACATTGATTTTGTATCCTGAGACTTTGCTGAAGTTGCTTATCAGCTTAAGGAGATTTTGGGCTGAGACGATGGGGTTTTCTAAATATACGATCATGTCATCTGCAAACAGAGACAATTTGACTTCCTCTTTTCCTAATTGAATAAGCTTTATTTCTTTCTCTTCCTTGATTGCCCTGGCCAGCACTTCCAATACTATGTTGAGTAGGAATGGTGAGAGAGGGCATACTTGCCTTGTGCTGGTTTTGAAAGGGAATGCTTCCAAATTTTGCCCATTTAGTATGTTATTGGCTGTGGGTTTGTCATAAATAGCTCTTATTATTTTGAGATACATTCCATTGATACCTAGTTTATTGAGAGTTTTTAGCTTGAAGGGGTGTTGAATTTTGTTGAAGGCCTTTTCTGCATCTGTTGAGATAATCATGTGGTTTTCATTATTGGTTCTGTTTATATGATGGATTATGTTTATTGATTTGTGTATGGTGGACCAGCCTTGCATCTCAGGGATGGAGCTGACTTGATCGTGGTGGATAAACTTTTTGACGTGCTGCTGGATTCGGTTTGTCAGTATTTTATTGAGGATATTTGCATTGATGTTCATCAGGGATATTGGCCTGAAACTTCCTTTTTTTGGTGTGTCTATGGCAGGTTTCGATATCAGGATGATCCTGGCCTCGTAAAAAGAGTTAAAGAGGAATCCTTTTTCTTTGGTTTGGAATAGTTTCAGAAGGAATGGTACCAGCTCCTCTTTGTACCTCTCGTGGAATCTGGCTGTGAATTCATCTGGTCCCGGGCTTTTTTTTTTGGTTGGTAGGCTATTAATTACTGCCTCAATCTCAGAACTTGTTATTGGTCTATTCAGGGATTTGACTTCTTCTTGGTTTAGTCTAGGCAGGGTGTATATGTCCAGGAATTTATCAATTTCTTCTATGCAAATAAAGTGTACAGGTGTTTATAGTATTCTCTGATGGTAGTTTGTATTTCTGTGGGATCAGTGGCAATAATCCCTTTATCATTTTTTATTGCATCTATTTGATTCTTTCTCTCTTTTCTTCTTTGTTAGTCTGGCTAACAGTATATCTATTTTGTTAATCTTTTCAAAAAATCAGCTCCTGGATTCATTGATTTTTTGAAGTGTTTTTCATGTCTCTATCTCCTTCAGTTCTGCTCTGATCTTAGTTATTTCTTGTCTTCTGCTAGGTTTGAATTTGTTTTCTCTTGCTTCACTAGTTCTTTTAATTGTGATGTTAGGGTGTTGATTTTAGATCTTTCCCACTTTCTCCTGTGGGTATCTAGTGTTATGAATTTCCCTCTAAACACTCCTTTAGCTGTGTCCCAGAGATTCTGGTATGTTTTGCCTATGTTCTCATTGGTTTCAAAGTACTTATTTATTTCTGCCTTAATTTTGTTATTAACCCAGTAGTCATTCAGGGGCAGGTTGCTCAGTTTCCATGTTGTTTTGAGGTTTTGAGTGAGTTTCTTAATCCTGAGTTCTAATTTGATTGAACTGTGGTCTGAGAGACTGTTATGTTTTCCATTATTTTGCATTGGCTGAGGAATGTTTTACTTCCATTTATGTGGTCAATTTTAGAATAAGTGTGATGTGATGCTGAGAGGATTGTATATTCTGTTGATTTCGGGTGGAGAGTTCTGTAGATGTCTATCGGGCCCACTTGGTCCAGAGCTGAGTTCAAGTCTTGAATATCCTTGTTAATTCTCTATCTCATTGATCTGTCTAATACTGACAGTGGGGTGTTGAAGTCTCCAACTATTATTGTGTGGCAGTCTAAGTCTCTTTGTAGGTCTCTAAGAACTTGCTTTATGAATCTGGGTGCTCCTGTATTGGGTGCGTATATATTTAGGATAGTTAGCTCTTCTTGTTGCATTGATTCCTTTTATCTTTTTTGATCTTTGTTGGTTTAAAGTCTTTTATAAGAGACTAGGATTGCAACCCGTGCTTTTTTTGCTTTCCATTTGCTTGGTAAATCTTCCTTTATCTCTTATATTGAACCTATGTGTGTCTTTGCACATGAGATGAGTCTCCTAAATACAGCACACCAATGGGTCTTGACTCTTTATCCAATTTGCCAGTCTGTGTCTTTTAACTGTGGCATTTAGCCCATTTACATTTAAGGTTAATATTGTTATGTGTGAATTTGATCCTGTCATTATGTTAGCTGGCTATTTTGCCTGTTGTTTGATGCAGTTTTTTTCATAGTGTCAATGGTCTTTACAATTTGGTATGTTTTTGCAGGGGCAGGTACTGGCTTTTCCTTTCCATATTTAGTGCTTCCTTCAGGAGCTCCTGTAAGGCAGACCTGGTGGTGACAAAATCATTCAGCATTTGCTTGTCTGTAAAGGATTTTATTTCTTCTTCGCCTATGAAGCTTAGTTTGGCTGCATATGAAATTCTGGGTTGAAAAATCTTTTCTTAAAGAATGTTGAATATTGGCCCTCACTCTCTTCTGGCTTGTAAGGTTTCTGCAGAGAGATCTGCTGTTAGTCTGATGGGCTTCACTTTGTGGGTAACCTGACCTTTCTCTCTGGCTGCCCTTAATATTTTTTCCTTCATTTCAATCTTGGTGAATCTGACAATTTTGTGTCTTGGGTTGCTTTTCTCAAGGAGTATCTTTGTGGTGTTCTCTGTATTTCCTGAATTTGAATGTTGGCCTGTCTTGCTAGTCTGGGGAAGTTCTCCTGGATAATATCCTGAAGAGTGTTTTCCAACTTGGTTCCATTCTCCCTATCGCTTTCAGGTACACCAATCAAATGCAGGTTTGGTCTCTTCACATAGTCCCATATTTCTTGGAGGCTTTATTTGTTCCTTTTAATTCTTTTTTCTCTAATTTTGTCTTCACACTTTATATATGATCTTTAATTTCTCTGATATCCTTTCTTCCACTTGATTGATTCAGCTATTGATAGTTGTGTATGATTCATGAAGTTCTTGTGCTGTGTTTTTCTGCTCCATCAGGTCATTTATGTTCTTTTCTAAACTTGTTATTCTAGTTAGTTATTTCTCTAACCTCTTTTTTTAAGGTTCTTAGCTTCCTTGCATTGGGTTAGAGCATGTTTTTTTTTTTTTTTTTTTTTTTTTTTTAGCTTGGAGGTGTTTGTTATTACCTACCTTCTGAAGGCTACTTCTGTCAATTCATCAAACTTATTCTTTGTCCAGTTTTGTTCCCTTGCTGGTGAGGAGTTGTGATGCTTTGGAGGAAAAGAGGCCTGGTTTTTGGAATTTTCAGCCTTTTTCACTGGTTTTTCCTCATCTTCGTGGATTTATCTACCTTTGGTCTTTGATGTTGGTGACCTTCGGATGGGATTTATGTTTGGACATCCTTTTTGTTGATATTGATGTTTATTAGTTTTCCTTCTAACAGGTGCCTCTGCTGCAGGTCTGCCGGAGTTTGCTGGAGGTCCACTCCAGACCCTGTTTCCTGGAGGTCCACTCCAGACGCTGTTTGCCTGGGTATCACCAGTGGAGGCTGCAGAGCAGCTAAGATTGCTGCCTTTTGCTGCCTCTGGAAGCTTCTTCCCAGAGGGGCACCCACCAGATGCCAGCCGGAGCTCTCCTCTATGACATGTCTGTCGACCCCTGCTAGGAGGTGTCTCCCAGTCAGGAGACATGGGGGTCAGAGACCCACTTGAGGAGGCAGTCTGTCCCTTAGCAGAGCTCGAGCGCTATGCTAGGAGATCTGCCACTCTCTTCAGAGCTGGCAGGCAGGCATGTTTAAGTCTGCTAAACCTGTGTCCACAGCCCTCTTTTCCCCCAGGTGCTCTGTCCCAAGGAGATGGGAGTTTTATCTATAAGCCCCTAACAGGGGCTGGTGCCTTTCTTTCAGAGATGCCTTGCCCAGAGAGGAGAAATCTAGAGAGGAAGGCTGGCTATAGCAGCTTTGCCAAGCTGTGATGGGCTCTGCCCAGTCTGAACTTCCTGGCAGCTTTGTTTACACTGTAAGGGGAAAACAGCTTTCTCGAGTCTCAGTAATGCTGGACACCCCTACCCCACCAAGCTCGAGCATCCCAGGTTGACTTCAAACTGTTGTGCTGGCAGCAAGCATTTCAAGCCAGTGGATCTTAGCTTGCTGGGCTCCATGGGGGTGGGATCCACTGAGCTAGACCACTTGGCTTCCTGGCTTCAGCCCTCTTTCCAGGGGAATGAATGGTTCTGTCTCACTGGCATTCCAGGTGCCACTGGGGTATGAAAAAAACTCCTGCAGCTAGCTCAGTGCCTGCCTAAATGGCCACCCAGTTTTGTGCTTGAAACCTAGGGCCCTGATGGTGTAGCCACTTGAGGGAATCTCTTGGTCTGCAGGTTGTGAAGACTGTGGGGAAAGCATAGTTTCTGGGCCAGAATTCGTTGTTCCTTATGGCACAGTCTCTCATTGCTTCCCTTGGCTAGGGAAAGGAGCTCTTTGACCCCTTGTGCTTCCCAGGTGAGGCGACACCCCACCCTGCTTTGTCTTGCCCTCTGTGGGCTGCACCTACTGTCTAATCACTCCCGGTGAGATGAGCCGAGTACCTCAGTTGGAAATGCAGAAGTCACCTGCCTTCTGCGTTGATCTCACTGGGAGCTGCAGACCGGAGCTGTTTCTATTTGGCCATCTTGCCAACCACCCTGGGGCAGAGATTCTTCATATGCTGCCAAACAATCCCTGTGGTTTTCACACTTACTTTAAATTGGTAATTAATTATCTCCAGTTTTCCATTGTCTTTCTCCAGTGAAATGACAGCCCTCAGCAACAGTCATTTCTTCCATAGTTTTTATAATTATTATTTTCCCCAAATTTCTCAAATGCTTGAGATTCTGTCCCCAGACAATGCTTTCTTTTCCGATCCCATTCATCTCAGGTGAAAGTCTTAACAATTTCATTGTTCTAATATGCCTGGAGCTAATAATGCTCTACCTATCACCAGTGATGGGGTCCTCACTGCTAGCCATCAGCAGATGACTCAGCTCTAAAATACCATTTTATATACTGCTTCTTAGGACCACTCCTGGCTTCAACTGCTTTAGGTCACCATTCCTGGAAACAGAATTTGAGGTGGAGATTTGCTTGCAGAAATTTTATGGATGAATGCTCTCAGAAATTAGATTAGAAAGGATTGAAAGAAGCAGGATGAGGCAGAGGGAGAGGTTGAAAATGCCTTGTGATTGCAACAAAGAAGCTCTGGAGTTTATGGATCTTCAGATTTGTCCCAAATTAAAACATAAAGGATTGGTTTTCTTACTCTCATCTTTCCACCTTGCCAGTTAACCAGCCACTGGATATAAACTGCCCCTAGGGCGGAGCATAACTTTGGGTTAGATGGTTTCCACATGCCAGGAGAAACACTTAGCTGTGAGCTATTAGCAGCCAATACTCCCAAAAGCTGATGCATTGGTCAAGAAAGGTACTTGGGGGTGGCATACCTCAGACCCACTCCATTAGATCCCAGGCTTGGAGTGATCTGCTTCAATGTAACACATTTTTGTGCAAAACGTTAGAGTGCACAGGATAACACTCTCAGACTTTGTTCTCAAGGTAGGGGACAGACTTTGTGTCTGGAATCCCTTTCCCCAACCTAAATGTTAAGGATGAAATTCCCAAAGACTACTAAAATTATCTTCTAATCCCGGGGCAGTTATGTTTCTGTAAACTTGTGCTTTAATGACATGAAGGCTCTATCCCATTAGACTATTTGAAAATTGGCATAGTATATAGTACTGAGCAATCACTGGTATATTTCTGTCAATCGATGATAAAAATATCTCAGTGAGGAATAAATATCTAAACATGTGAGCAACGTTTATGATGGAGGCGTTATGCACAATGGAGAAGCCTTAAAAACCAGGTATCTCATTCAGTGTAACATTTGCATATAAATGACTTAATCAGGATGCAACATAGTGTGTTTAGAAAAATAGATACTCAGCATGCCCACTAGACTGCACCTATAAACACAACATGTCTCTGGACAAATCTTTTTGGACTCCTTAAGTTCAAAGATAAAATAGATCATGGGCTAGTAGATAAAAACATCTGTGACAGGCTTTAGTTATTTATGTAACTTAAGCACAGTTACTTTTGGGCACCAAGTCACATCAACCATCATGATCTGAAATTTCTGCTGAAGTTTTGCTGACAGTGAGAAATTTGAATGTTACCAACAGAAAATTATTTAATATAAATATTTGGTACACTTTGGTACCAAAGTGTACTTTTTCTCATCAGTTTCTTCCATTCTCTCTTCTTGACTCATTTAATTGCAAATAACTAGTACAGAGAATGGACCAACAGGCATACAAAGAATTGTAACACAAATGGACAGTGTCTTATTTGTAGCTTTTTGATGAAAGTGAATAAATGAAACCCAGTTGGATATCCTCCTGCTCATAAAATACTAGTGTAAATTTACTATATAGCTGTCTTATACTTTTTAATAGCTATATGAATATATTTAATATTATTCAAATATGCATAAGAAGAAGTAACCTCTGTATTAACTTCCTAGGATGTTCAGTTAGACACAATATCTCTGTTAGCCAGTATTAAGGCAATATCTCAAGTCATTGATGGCACAATAGACCTGTAGTCTTAGTTTTTTTCTCTTCTCTCTCTGGATTTATGATACAGACTCTATTGGCCACTTTTCTGTCCTTATCCTTATTTTTCCCCTTCTGCAGAATTTGGCAGTATTGATTATTCCCGCTTTAGAATTATTTTCTCTCCTCTTAGGTTTTCTGCATGCACCACGGTGTCTAGATTACCTTCCAACCTCTCTGTTTATTCCTTCTAGTAATTTCTCTGTCTACATCCCATAACTATTGGTGTTACTCAGGAGTTCTACCTTTTTTCCTCTCTCTTCTTTCTGCCCTTGATAATTCATTCACTTACATGACTCCAACATGACCTATATGCCAATAACTTCCAAATCTATGTCTTTAGACATACTGGGCCATCTTTCCATGGATGTCCTATTGGCTTCTCACATTTTAGCCCAAATTGCATGACTATATATATACAGTGAAGTTCAGTTTGAATCATCATTAATTGAGAAACAGAAATGTAAGGTAAATTATAAACGAGATGTTTGTGTTCTATAACATCTCATTTTGTTCTCAGGCACACAGTCTTATCGAGGGCAGATAGCATGAGATCTTGCCAATTAAGCATGTATCAGTCTGTTCTGCATATTAGTCTTATTTTTTTTTTTTTCTGGTAACTACTCAGTCTCCCAAAATTTCCTTCCACTCTCAAAGGTTCTTTTCTCCTCTTCCTTCTAATACAGTATTTGAGTGCAAAAAGAAGCTTAAATTGTCCTGATGACACTAGGGGAGGGGCATGTGGGCCAGAGCTCTTTTTCCATCACTGTTACTAACCTCCAGACACCTCGGCTAGTCTTTGGAACTAGCCTCTGCCTTTTGCAGGGTAGCTCAATCCACATGGTCTATCAGTATCCTGAGTTGATCTCCACTGGGGTGTGAGTTGTCCCACCAGATTTTTGTTGTGTTGTGCTGCATTGACTTTGTTAAAATTCTTATTTTGTTTACTTTTATTGATATATAATAGCTGGACATATTTTTGGGGTACATATGGTATTTTGATACATGTATACAATGTGTAATGATCAAATCAGGGTAATTGGGATATCCACCACCTTAGACATTTATCTTTCCTTTGTGTTAGGAACATTGCAATTTTTCTTTCCTAGCTACTTTAAAATCTACAATAAGTCATTGTTAACTATAATTTTTATATTCTACTTATGAATACTAGAACTTCTCTATTCTTTTTATCTAACTGTGTTTTTATACTCCTTCACAAACTTTGCATGTATTCTTGATGATTTCTTTCCCCACCAGTGCCTTTAATTATGTGACTGGACCTGCAGAATTCCTGGTCTTTTCTACAGTCCATCCTTCCTACACCTGCCCAGCAGAATTATACTCCTCTCGCATGGCTGCCCTCAGGACCTCCTGTCTGGTAAGCTTCCTCAGTAATTGCTACTTTATAACCTCCATGCTATGATTGATATTCTAACCCCCCTTTTATTGGATTTTTAAAATTGCCTCGAATCTCCTTAGAGTAGGTCACCATAGAGTAGGAAATAATCAGTTCTGATGTATTGAGATATACTTGTCACTCCCAATCCCTCCAGGAGACTTGATTCCAGGATATGCCAGTTTCCATGTATCAGTAAGGGTCTTTGCAGAACCAGAGATGGCACAATCCAATTGGACAATTTCAGTAGAGTTTAATGGAGGGATTGTTTTTTAAGGCACTAAGAAGCCACAGGCAGTGTAAGACTCAGGCTAGAAGCAGCAGGATTTCTTGGCAGAAGCTGGGTTTCTTACTTCATAGATGCAGAAAATTGATCTGAAGGGAAAATGGAAGATATCCAGCAGGTTCAGCTTCCTGGTCTAGGTTAAGGAGAATACTAGGATTGAAAAAAGAGGCAGATAATAATTCTAAAAGAGAAAGAGAGAGAGAGAGACCTACCTTTTTGCAAAACCTATTTTTCTTCCAACATTACCTAGTACTTCATTATTCAAGCAGGAAATCGGAGAATCATTCTGGATTTCTCTTTCTCTACTTTTATCTCCTCACCATAGCTAGTAATGATACTTAACAGTGAATTCTTACTGTGTACCACAAATGGCGCTGAGTACTTTTACATGCATTATGTCAAGCATAATCTTATCCAGGAAGTACTATTTAACTGACACATAACTGAAGTTTAGAGGAGTTAGTTTCTTCGTGGTTTTATAATAGCAGAAGTAGCTGTAGACCCTAGAAGTCTAGTTTAAAGCCTGAATTGTTAATCTCCACAGTGTATTGCAAAGAACCAATTGCTAAGTTCAAATGTTGACTTTATTATCATCTCTTCATTCCCTTCTCGGCTTAAGCAAAGTTTTCCTAATGGATATACACATATCTACTCTTTTTCTGTCTCTAATCCATAACTCCTTACTGCTATTAAAGTTATGTTACTGAAAGAAAAAAAGCAAAACATAACCATATTACTCTTTGATTAACTCCTCATGTTAGTTACCTTTTGATGATAATATAAAGTCTATATCTATATGCCTTCTCAGAGCATGTGAAACTTACCACAGTCTAGGAATAGTTTATTTTATTGGTTCCATTTGTACTTTATTAGTTCCATTGTTTTTGACAAATCTCTCCAGATATACTCACCAACATACTTTTCTTTTCTTTCTTTTTTTTTTTTTTTATTTTTTGAGACACAATCTTGCTCTGTGGCCCAGGCTGGAGTACAGTGGCCTGGTCTTGGCTCATTGCAACATCTGCCTCCCATGTTCAAGCAACTTTCCCTGCCTCAGACTCCTGAGTAGCTGGGATTACAGGTGACCGCCAGCATGCTTGGCTAATTTTATTTTTTTTTAGTAGAGACAGGGTTTCATCGTGTTTGCCAGGCTGATCTTGAACTCCTGACCTCAAGTGATCTGCCCACCTTAGCCTCCCAAAGTGCTTGGATTACAGGCATGAGCCACAGAGCCTGGACCAACATACTTTCCTTTAATGATTCAAACTTATCACCATTTCCTAAACGTACTATATTCTTTTATGCCTCTTATATTTATTTATGTTTTTGCTAGAGTATCTGACCTACCTCCATTGACATCTTTTTTTTTTTTTTTTTTTTTTTTTTGAGAAGAGTTTTGCTCTAGTTGCACAGGCTGGAGTGCAATGGTGTGATCTCGGCTCACTGCAATCTCTGCCTCCAGGGCTCAAGCCATCCTCCTGCCTCAGCATCCCAAGTAGCTCGGATTATAGGTGCATACCACCATACCCAGATAATTTTTGTAATTTTTTAGTAGAGATGGGGTTTCACCATGTTGGTCAGGCTGGTCTCGAACTCCTGACCTCAGGTGATCCACCTGCCTCAGCCTCCCAAAGTGCTGGGATTACAGGTGTGAACCACTGCACCCGGCCTTCCATTGACATCTTTAACTGTTAGTTTCTTCACTGTTCCAAATATTATCTCCATGGTGATGCTTTTTTCAATTTCTTCTTCAAAGATCTAGTGGCTTTGTCCTCTGTGCATCTAAGCATATTCTACGTGCCTTTGTTGTAGGCACCATTAATTTATCTTGTAATCACAGTGGAATAGCATCAGATAGGCATATAACTTATACACATTCGACTACATCTACTTGCCAATGAGAAGAATAATTTAAAAGGTGGGGCAAAAGTGTTCAGGCTGTGGATATACTTAAGCCTGAAACAGTATGCATGCCGAAAGACAATTGTGAACTATATTAAGGATTTTCTTTTTTTAGATCTTTGGCAAAGAGGAGAACTGTAGTGTTTACACAGCTAGACAGGTAGATAATACTGGCTTTATAAAAGCAGTTCAGGAGTAAATATTGCACTGAGAACAATGCAGAACATTGACTAGAAGAGTTATAGAAAGAGATAATTTTTTTTTCCATAAGATAAAAATGATTATAAGAAATAGAAATACCTAGTAAGTTGATATTTTCATACATTTGCTAAAGCTTTTCAAGTTGTCAAATCTTGTGCTATAATTTATGAATATAAACTGTCTAAGGGAATAGATGATCTTTAACTTTGAATACATAGCACATTTACATACAGATGTTATAGGATATAGTTTTATATATGAAACCATTTATAGTGTATTTCACAGAAGTTTAAGGGATTTTTATACATGACTTTGTTGTATACAAGTTTTTGTTGTGTGCTATGATTTTGTAATTAAATCTAGTATACAAGTTGCTATATCAGTCTCTACTTCTTTCTCTGTTTTCCAGTCCCCAAGCATCGCCAAGCCTCACCAAACCCGTAATTCTCAACTAGGGATAGTATATCCTTGGAGAAGGGACACATATTAGAATCTCAAAGTGGAAACTTTTCAAAATACCCCAAATATTATGATTTCTCAAAGATTCTGATATGAACCCTTGGGGAGTAGGGAAGACTCACAGAAATCATTTACTGTAAAGAGACTCATTACTGATGGAACAGTTGTTTTACATGTAACCTGTGTGCTGTAAAAAAGAAAAGTCTGAGACCACCAAACAGGATCACTTGACTTAGAAAGGACTCTAACTTGTTCTTTGTAATTCTTGTCCTTCAGCATCAATTGTGGTACCCAGCGTAGAGGACATTCAGTAAGTATTTATTTGTTGTTCCTTGGCTCTGTTTTTGTACTGGGGAAACAAACCTGAACTCAGGATGTGTTTACAGAGTTTGCTTATTTGAATGTGATCTCTAAACTGGGGTGGGGACTATTGGAACTCTCCTCTCAGCCATGATTATCCTCACTGAAAGAATCTGATGGCTTATTTAATTAGAGGACTGTCTTTAGAATGCTCCCAAAAACTCACCTTCTTTTGGTTCTTTCTTTAACAGAGTTTGCCAATTTACAATTCTTCTTTTAAAAAATTTTGGATCTTTTTCTTTTAAAAATTTTCTTCCCCTCCTGTGTTCAGAGCTCTGTCTAAAGTGAACAGTGATACCACTTCTGCTCAACCTGGTCCATCTTTAGAAATAGCCACATCACATGATTCTCTGGTCTTCCTTGGAGAAACTCTTCATGACCAGGTTTTCTCTTTTTTAATTTTTATTATACTTTAAGTTCAGGGGTACATGTGCAGAATGTGCAGTTTTGTTACATAGGTATACACGTGCCATGGTAGTTTGCTGCACCCATCAACCCATCATCTACATTAGGTATTTCTGCTAATGTTATCCCTCCCCTAGCCCCCCACTCCCCAACAAGCCCTGGTGTGTGATGTTCCTCTCCCTATGTCCATGTGTTCTCATTGTTCACCTCCCACTTGTGAGAACACGCAGTGTTTGGTTTTCTGTTCTTGTGTTAGTGTGCTGAGAGTGATGGTTTCCAGCTACATTCATGTCCCTGAAAAGGACATGAACTTATCCTTTTTTATGGCTGCATAGTATTCCATGGTGTATATGTGCCACATTTTCTTAATCTAGTCTATCACTGATGGACATTTGGGTTGGTTCCAAGTCTTTGCTATTGTGAATAGTGCCGCAATAAACATATACATGAATGTGTCTTTGTAGTAGCATGTTTTATAATCCTTTGGGTATATACCCAGTAATGGGATCACTGTGTCAAATGGTATTTCTAGCTCTAGATCCTTGAGGAATCACCACACTGTCTTCCACAATGGTTGAACTAGTTTACACTCCCACCAACAGTGTAAAAGTGCTCCTATTTCTCCACATCCTCTCCATCATCTGTTGTTTCCTGACTTTTTAATGATCGCCATTCTAACTGGTGTGAGATGGTATCTCACTGGGGTTTTGATTTGCATTTCTCTGATGACCAGTGATGATGAGCATTTTTTCATGTGTCTGTTGGCTGCATAAATGTCTTCTTTTGAGAAGTGTCTGTTCATATCCTTTGCCCACTTTTTGATGGGGTTGTTTGTTTTTTTTTCTTGTAAATTTGCTTAAGTTAATTGTAGATTCTATTAGCCCTTTGTCAGATGGATAGATTGCAAAATTTTTCTCCCATTCTGTAGGTTGCCTGTTCACTCTGATGGTGGTTTCTTTTGCTGTGTAGAATCTCTTTAGTTTAATTAGATCCCATTTGTCAATTTTGGCCTTTGTTGCCATTGCTTTTGGTGTTTTAGTCATGAAGTCCTCGCCCATGCCTATGTCCTGAATGGTATTGCCCAGGTTTTCTTCTAGGATATTTATGGTCCTAGGTCTTACATTTAAGTCTTTGATCCATCTTGAGTTGATTTTTGTATAAAGTGTAAGGAAGGGGTCCAGTTTCAGTTTTCTGCATAGGGCTAGCCAGTTTTTCCAACATTTATTAAGTAGGGAATCTTTTCCCCATTGCTTGTTTTTGTCAGGTTTGTCAAAGATCAGATGGTTGTAGATGTGTGGCATTATTTCTGAGGGCTCTGTTGTGTTCCATTGATCTATATATCTGTTTTGGTACCAGTACCATTGCTGTTTTGGTTACTGTAGCCTTGTAGTATAATTTGAAGTCAGATAGCATGACGCCTCCAGCTTTGTTCTTTTTCTTAGTATTGTCTTGGCTATGGGGGCTCTTTTTTGGTTCCATATGAAGTTTAAAGTAGTTTTTTCCAATTCTGTGAAGAAAGTCAGTGGTAGCTTGACAGGGATAGCATTGATCTATAAATTACTTTGGGCAGTATGACCATTTTCATGATATTGCTTCTTCCTATCTGTGAGCATAGAATGTTTTTCCATTTGTTTGTGTCCTCTCTTATTTTCTTGAGCAGTGGTTTGTAGTTCTCCTTGAAGAGGTCCTTCACATCCCTTGTAAATTTTATCCCTAGGTATTTTATTCTCTTAGTAGCAATTGTGAATGGGAGTTCACTCATGATTTGGTTCTCTGTTTGTCTATTATTGGTGTATAGGAATGTTTGTGATTTTTGGACATTGATTTTGTATCCTGAGACTTTGCTGAAGTTGCTTATCAGCTTAAGGAGATTTTGGGCTGGGATGATGGGGTTTTCTAAACATACAATCATGTCACCTGCAAACAGGGACAATTTGACTTCCTCTCTTCCTATTTGGACCAGGTTTTCTTTTTTAACCTTGAATCATCTTGGTGGCCATCCTGGGAACCCTTTCCCCATTTTCCATGTCAGCCTCTGCTTGTTGCCTAAATGCTCATTAAAGATGTGGAGTGAGTATATGCTCTAATGGCTACCATGTCACTATCATGTTATAGAACTTACTTTACAAATTGATCACACTGTATTATTTCTTATCTATTTTTCTCACTTCTTTTCCCACTTAAGTGTACATATCTATTTTCATTTTTATTAAAATATATCTTTTCTCTATGTACAACCCATTTTATACCTGTAAACGTAATGGATATTTTTTCTCATGTAATATCTAGACCAGAAGTAGAAAACTCAGTTGCTGTGAGAGTCTAGGTAAGAGTAGAGTTTGAAACTGCCAGATAGAAGAAAATAGAGTGATGTCAGGACTGTAGAAAGAGGAATGCATGCTTCAACTGAAGGTATTACAATTTAACTTAAAACACTTCTCTGGCAAAAATCAATTTAAACATTTTCTACAGACCTGATTCTCTTCCTGATTTAAATTATTGACAAAAACATTGATAACATGGAGGCTCTGGAGACACTTTTGCTCATTTATTTATTTAACACACATTTATTGAATGCTTGGAGAGTTCCAGGTTCCCGTGTAGGTACCATGCCTGTAAATACTGATACTAATGCTAGCACTAACACTAATACTGATACTAATAATTTGTCTCTGATCCTTAGGTTCTTTGGGCCTAGTAAAACCGGCAGAAAAATACATGCCAAATTATAGTACTATGTGATAAAAGAAAATAAGTGGTAGGTTTCTAGAGGGCCTGGGAACACAGAAGAGGGGATGGGTGACACATGAGGGCTCAGTGCTTAACAAAAGAGTTAACCTCTTGCTTAAATCTCAAAAAGGAAATTTATGGTTTTGCTGAATGGGAAATAGTAGGTTGGGAAAGGTAGACAGAAAGCAGATATTTTGAAAATTAGGTCACACAGTGATTTTTTTAAAAAGAGAATTTTAACAAGAGACTTATATGTATAGAAACATTTCTACTTGTTACATCCATTAAGGTTGATAACGTTTAAAAAACAATGTTCCTCATAATGCTGAAGATAATTCATTCTAAGTTGCATTATTCTAAGGATTTTAAAAAGGAGAATCATTGTTTCATAGCTATTCATGATTAAGTTTGCATGCTGGTCTTTCTGGTGATTTCTAGAATACCAGAGAATGCTGACTAGTAGGACAAAGGGAAAAAAAGTGAAAAGATTCATCCTGTACATTGTTTCGAAGTTTCTTAATGAACATTTATACATTAAATGTTCCCTTTCCCACCCTTTTGTTCTTATAACTATTAACAATCATGGAACATCGTTCTGTGGGACAGCATTTTATAAGGTGCTGATCTGTCCTATAACAAATCAATATAAAAAAGTGAAAAGTTATGGTCATTTAGGGGATATTTGGGCTATTCTGGCTCAAATAATAGTTCATTTAAAAATTCTTTTTATTGTACTATTAGCAAAAAGTTGTTAAGCATTTTACCAGCTCATTCCATTACTAAATTCACTTTTTATTGAAGAAGTTGAATTGAATAGTTGTTTTTGAAATGAAAACAGTCCTCATCAGGCCGGGTGTGGTGGCTCATGGCTGTAATCCCAGCACTTCAGGATGCTGAGGTGAGTGGATCACAAGGTCAGGAGTTCGAGATCAGCCTGGCCAACATAGTGAAACCCTCTCTCTACCAAAAATACAAAAAAATTAGCCAGGTGTAGTGGCAGGTGCCTGTAATCCCAGCTACTCAGGAGGCTGAGGCAGGAGAATTGCTTGAACCCGGGAGGCGGAGGTTGCAGTGAGCCGAGATCACTGCCATTGCACTCCAGCCTGGGAGACAGTGTGAGACTCTGTAAAAAAAAAAAAAAAAAAAAAAAAAAGGAGCAGTCCTCATCTGCTACAAATAAAGACAAATGAAAAGTATTTGCAGAGATGACACAATAGAGTTATAATAATGATTAATCATGCCTCAGTGTCATCAGAAGTTGTTATTTGATGTTTGGTATTCTAAAAATATAAATAAAAACGATAGGTATTGCTGAGTATTCATTTTCATTTAATAAAATGAAAACTAGGTTTCTGCCTGTCAAGTGAAAAAGTGCATAAGGGCAAGGAAATAATGTATGACTCTTCAGACTGGTAGGGGTTTCCAAATAGAGCTAAATGAATTTTTAGGAAGTATAATAAAAATGTGATTGGTTTCTTTTAACTTTGGCAAGCATTTTTAAATTTCCTTGCCATGTTTCTTATTACAACGTTGTATAATATTTAAGGTTAGAAGTTAACCTATGAAGATCTGTTTTCAATAACATCTAAATTGTGACACTTGCTTACCCGTATTGCTCTTAAAGCTCTGTAGAGAACAAATGCAAGAATCTCCCTAGAGATTTTTCTTTTGCAAGGGAGTTTCGGCACTGCACAAGAACAGTAGATAGCAAACACCAAGGGCCATGTGACTCTCAGAGATGAACAGCTGGGCTGAATAAGAAGGAGAGCAAAAGAAAACAACACCCACATGTGTGAAAAAGTTGAGTTCAGCTTTGTTGGAACATCAAAAAGCAAGAAAACCCTAAAAGCACACTGACAGAGAACTGGTTAAATGTATTATTGTATAGACATAAAATAAACTACCCATTAAAATAAATGGTGTAATCCTCTATGTGCTGAGGAGAAAATACCTAATTTACAAGAAAAAAGAAAGAAAAAAGGAAACAAAAGCAAGGTACAGAACAAAGTGTCAAATATATTACTCCTTTTTGTCTTTAAAAAGATGTAGAAGAATAGATGGGCCTGGGAATTTTTTAAAAAGATATGTAAGAAATATTGATGAAGCTTACCTGTGAAGAATGAGATTAGGTATCTGGGTTGGCAATAAAACTTACTTTTTATTGTATAAACTTTTTGAATGGTGTGTATGTTTTTGTCTGTGTGTTCTATGGGGTTATTATTTTGTAAAAAAAAAAGTTAGCTAGACTATGACAAAGTCAATTTGGTGTTGTGGTTGAGCTGGGTGCAAGGAAGAGATTTCCTTTTGCGTGCACTATCTGTCCATTCTCATAAACATTATGAGCATTTCTAAAAGAGGCCACTGGGAGCAGTGGAGAATGCATGGACTTTGATATAGGGTAGATTTCAAGTAGCACATATTTAAATGTTGACTTTTATTAGTAGCGATTGACTTCATACAGCTGAACCATGACTTCCCCATTTATAAAATGGAAATAATTCTTATCTTGTGTATTAGTATTAAGGAAGTGTCTAGCTCAGTGCCTGTTGTTATGGTTTCTATCTATTAAATTGCCATCTTTCTTTGGACCGTTTTAAATTTTATTAGTCTCATGCAATATGCCATTTATTTCTTTTCTGGAGATCTGGAACTTTGGGGAGCATCTATTATATAACAAACTATTTTCATACGGCCCATCTTTATGTGGACATTAAAAAAAACTTACTTATTTGCCCATTTGACTCAAAAAATTGTACATACTTATGGTGCACAATATGATGTTTTGAAATGTGTATACATTGTAGAATGGCTAAATCAAGATAATTAACATATACATTGCTTCATGAACATATCATTTACTTGTGATGAGCACACTTAAAATATACTCTTTTAACAATTTTTAAGTATACAATGCATTATTATTAGCTATAGTCACCAGGTTGTACAGTACAATAGATCTCTTGAACTTATTCCTCCTAACTAAAATATTGTATCCTTGACCAACATCACCCCAATTTCTCTTTCACCTCAGCCTGTGGTAACCACTATTCTACTCTCTGCTTCTATGAGGCAATAAACTCTGTGTTTTGTTTGTTTGTTCGTTTAGAGGATCTCACACTAAACAGGATATCAGTGTGTTGCCCAGGCTGGAGTGCAGTGGTGCAATCATAGCTCACTGCAGCCTTGAACTCTTGAGCTCAAGCCATCTTTTCACCTCAGCCTCCCAAGTAGCTGGGACTACAGGGGCATACTACCACACTCAACTAATCAATTCTTTTTTTTTTTTTTTTTGAGAAGGGGCTCACTATGTTGCCCAGGCTGGTCTCTAACTCCTAGCCTCAAGAAATCCTCTTGCCTCAGCCTCCCAAAGTGCTGGGGTTACAGGCATGAGCAACACTGCCTGGCAGAAGACAACTGACTTTACATAAAGAAGATTACCCTTCATAATGGGGATGTGTCACATACCGTGAACATCCCACTGGTTCTGTTTTTCTGATGGAATCCTGACTGATACAGATTTGGTACTGAGAGTGGGATCTGCTGTAAGAAATACCTAAAAATGTGCAAGTGGCTGAAAGAATTTTTAGGTGTATAATAGAAAAAGCCTAAATTGCCTTGAAGACATGGTTGATAGAAATGTGAATATTAAAGGTATTTCTAGTGAGATCTCAGGAAGAAATGAGGAGCATTTTATTGGAAACTGGAAGAAAGGTGATTCTTATTACAAAATGGCAGAAAACTTGTTTGAATTGTGGTCTACTGTTGGGAGAGAGGGGAACTTGTAAGCAATAAACTTGGATATTTAGCTGAGGAAATTTCCAAGCAAAGTGTTGAAGTTGCAGCTTATAGTACAATTCCAGAGGAAAAAGATAAATGGAAGAAGGAACTCATGCAAAAAAGCAATGAGCACTTGATAATTTGGACAGTTCTTGGTCTATTCACATTGTAAAGGATGCCAAAGTTAGAAAATTTGCTGCTAGAAAAGCATTCTCTGGGGACAGGGCCAAATGTGTGGCTGGACAACCTTTTCCTGAAGAGATTGGGTGTGACTTATGGAGCCAATAAAATGTCTCAGGAGAATCCAGCAATAGAGATGAAGTGTTCAAGGAAGGATCTGTTGAGTATCCTCTTGTCTAATCATGTGGAACCCTATGAATTACAAAGGAGACTCACAACATTTTTGAGAATGTTATACCAAGAGAAATTCTAACAGTTTTGGCTGAAAGGAATTGGATAAAATAAAAGAATGTTTCTGAACTCCCAAAATTCTACAAGCAGAAAAAGGATAATAGAGTAATTTGCCTGCAAATATGTGCCCCTTTACAATAAAAAAGAGTAATAATTCTGAGGGCAGTATTTTGAATGCAGAGGCAGTGGCCAACGAGCCTTCCTGGGAGCAGAGGATGGGTTCTGTTTAAGTCCGGAGAGGAGAGCCTTCATGGGCCCAGTGGACAGAGCTTTGAGCTATGGAGAATTTTCTCAGGTTTTGAAACCTAACAGAATTTTTCCTGTAGGGCTTCAAACTTACTGGAGACCAGCGACCCCTTTATTTCTTCCAGTTTTCTCCTTTGGAATGAGAATGTTTTTTCTATGCTTATCCCACCTTTGTATTTTGGAAGCAGACAACTCGTTTTATAGTTTTATAGGTCCACAGATGGTGAGGAATTTTCCCCCAAGATGGATCATATGGAGAGTCTTGCCAATACCTGATTTAGATAATTAAAATATTAGATTTGGGACTTTTTGAGCAGATGACTTTTAGATAAGATTTTGGATTTAGAGTTGATGCTGTAATTGGAAAACTTTGAGTGATGCTGGAATGGTGTGATTCCCCATTTTCCATTTAGGACAGATGTAAATTTTAGGGGGCTGAGGGCAGGCTACAGTGGTTGAATGGTGTTCCTCAAAAAGATATGCATGATACCTAATCTCTAGTATTTGTGAATGTGAACTTATTTGGAAATAGGGTTTTTGCAGACATAACTAAGGACCTTAGGATGAGATCATTCTGGATTAGGCCTTAAATTCAGTTACTGGTGCCCTTATAAGAGGGAAAAGGAAGGCAGGTTTGAGACACACAGATACAAAAGAGAACCCACAGAGGGAAAGGCCATGTAAAGATACAGGCAGCAATTGAAATAATGTGTCTACAGGTCAAGAAATGGCCAATTACTTTGATAGTCACCAGAAGCTAGGAGAGAGACATGAAACAGATTTTCCTTCAGAGCCTCCAGAAGTAACTAACTTTGCCAAAACTATCATTTCTGATTTATAGAACTGTGAGATGATTAATTTCTGGTGCTTTAAGCAACTAATTTTAAAATTTTCTATTATTTTAAAATATTTTTTGTGGGTACATAGTAGGTACATATATTTATGGGGTACATGAGATATTTTGATACAGGCATGTTGTACATAATAATCACATGAGGGTAAATGGGGTATAAATCACTGGAAGCATTTATCCTTTCCTTATGTAACAAACAATCCAATTATACTCTTTTAGTTATTTTGAAATGTACAATAAGTTATTGATGACTGTAGTCACCCTGTTGTGCTATCAAATACTAGATATTATTCAGTGTATCTAACTATATTTTCATACCTATTAACCATCCCCACTTTTGCCCCACTCCCCTCCTGCCCTTCCTAACCTCTGGTAACCATATTTCTACTCTCTATCTTCATGAGTTCCATCGTCTTAATTTTTAACTCACATTAATAAGTGAGAACATGCAAAGTTTGTCTTTATGTGCCTGGCTTATTTCACTTAACATAATGACCTCTAGTTCCATCCATGTTAGTGAAAATGACAGGAGTTCATTATTTTTTATGGCTGAATAGTACTTCATCATGTATATGTATCACATTTTCTTTATCTATTCATCTGTTGATGGACACTTAGGTTGCTTCAAACCTTGGCTATTGTGAATAGTGCTACAATAAACATGGGAGTGGAGATATCTTTTCAATATACTAATTTTCTTTCTTTTGGGTAGATACCTAGAAATGGGATTGTTGGATCAGATAGTAGTTGTATTTTTAGTTTTTTGAGGAAACTTTAAACCATCCTTTATAGTGGTTGTATTATTAATTTACATTCCCATCAACAGTGTATGAGGGTTCCCTTTCCTTCACATCCTTGCCAGCATTTGTCGTTGCCTGTATTTTGATAAAAGTAATTTTATTTATTTGTATATTTATTTACCTTTTTTTTTAGGTTTGGGGGTACACGTGAAGGTTTTTTATATAGGTAAACACATGTCACAGAGGTTTGCTGTACATATTATTTCATTACCCAAGTATTAAGCCAAGTACCTAATAGTTATCTTTTTTGCTCCTCTCTTTCCTTTCCCTCTCCCCCTCAAGTAGGCCCCAGTGTCTGTTGTTTTTCCTTTGTATTCATAAGTTCTTATCATTTAGCTTCCACTTATAAGTGAGAACATGTGGCATTCAGTTTTCTGTTCCTGTGTTAGTTTTCTAATAATAATAACGTCCAGCTTTATCCATGTTCACACAAATGACATCATCTCATTTTTTTATGGCTGCATAGTATTCCATGGTGTATATGTACCACATTTTCCTTATCCAATCTGTCATTGATGGGCATTCATGTTGATTCCATGTCTTTGCTATTGTGAATAGTGCTGCAATGGACATTTGTGTGCATATGTCTTTATGGTAGAAAGATTTATTTTCCTCTATATATCCAGCAATGAGATTGCTGGATTGAGTGGTGGTTCTGGATGAGAGCCATTTTAACTGGAGTGAGAAGATATCTCATTATAGCTTTGATTTCCTTTTATCTGATGATCAATGATGCTGAACACCTTTTCATATACCTGTTTGCCATTTGTGTGTTATCTTTTGAAACATGTCTATTCAGATCTTTTGCCAATTTAAAAATCAGCGTATTAGGTTTTTTACTATTGAGTCGTTTGAGCTCCTTATATATTCTGGTTATGAATCCCTTGTCAGATGGGTAGTTTACAAATATTTTCTCCCATTCTGTGGAGTGTCTTCTCACTTTGTTGATTGTTTCTGTAGCTGTTCAGAAGCTTTTCCAACTTGATGTAATCCCATTCGTTCATTTTTGCTTTGGTTTCCTGTGCTTGTATGGTATTACTCAAGAAAACTTTGCTCAGACCAATGTCCTGAAGAGTTTTCCTCATGCTTCTTATAGCAGTTTGCAAGTATAAGATTGAAGTCTTTTACTAGTTTCTTTAGATTTAAATTTTTAACCCATTTTTATTTGATTTTTGTGTATGATGAGAGATAGGGGTCGAGATTCATTGTGCTGTATATGGATATCCAGTTTTCCCAGCAGCATTGATTGAAGAGACTGTCATTCCCCAAAGTATGTTCTTGACACCTTTGTTGAAAATGAGTCCACTGTAGATATATAAATTCATTTCTGGGTTCTCTATTCTTTTCCATTGGTCTATGTGTCTGCTTTAATGCCAGTACCATACTGTTTTGGTTACTATAGCTCTGTGGTGTAATTTGAAGTCAGGTGATGTGATTCCTCCAGTTTTGTTCTTTTTGCTTAGGATAGCTTTGGCTGTTCTTGATTTTCGTGGTTCCATATAAATTTTGGAATTTTTTTCTTCTCTATTGCTGTGAAGGATGTTACTGGTATTTTGAGGGATTGCATTGAATCTGTAGATTGCTTTGGATAGTATGAACATTTTAACAATATTGAGTCTTCTAATTCATGAACGTGCAATATCTTTCTATTATTTTGTGTCCTCTTCAATTTCTTTAATCAATGTTTTATAGTTTTCATTGTAGAGAACTTTTACTTTTTTCGCTTAAGTTTATTAGTAGGTATTTAATTTTACTTATAGCTATTATAATTGGATTACTTTCTTGATATCCTTTTCAGATTGTTCACTGCTAGCATATGGAAATGCTACTGATTTTTTGTATGTTAATTTTGTAACCTGAAATATTACTGAATTTATTGATTCTAATATATTTTTTCTGGAGTCCTTAGGTTTTTCCAAATATAAGGTCATAACATCTGCAAACAAAGATAATCTGACTTCTTCTTTCCCAGTTGGGTGCCCTTTATTTTTTTCTCTTGTCTGATTGCTCTAGCTAGGACTTCCAATATTATGTTGAATAATAGTGGTGAACGTAGGCATTCTTGTCTTGTTCCAGATCTTAGATGAAAAGCCATCAGTTTTTCCTCATTCAGTATGATACTAGCTGTGGGTCTGTTGTATATGGCTTTTATTTTTTTTGAGTTATGTTTCTTCTGTATCCAGTTTTTTAATTGTTTTAATCACGAAGAGATGTTGAGTTTTGTCAAATGTTTTTATGCATCAATTGAAAGGATTACATGGTTTTTGTCCTTTAGTCCGTTGATATTATGTATTATACTAATTGACTTGGGTGTGTTGAATCATCCTTGCATCCTTGGAATAAATCCCCCTTGGTCATAATAAATAATCTTTTAAACATGTTGCAGAACTTGGTTTGCTAGTATGCTGTTGAGGATTTTTGCGCCTATGTTCATCAGTGATATTGATGTATAGTTTTCTTTTCTTGATGAGTCTTTGGTTTTGGTATCAGGGTAATGCTGGCATTGCAGAATGAGTTTGGAGGTATCCATGCTCCTCTATTTTTTGGAACAGTTTGTGTAGGATCGGCATTTGCTTTTCCTTAAATGTTTGGTAAAATTCAGCAGTGAAGTCATCAATTCCTGGGCTTTTCTTTACTGGAAGTCTTATTGTGGCTTTGATCTCATTACTTGTTATTGTTCTTTTCAGGTTTTAGATTTCTTAATGGTTCAGTCTTGGTAGGTTAAATGTGGCTAGAAATTTATCTGCTTTTTCTAGGCTTTTCAATGTATTGATATATATATATATATTTTCACTTGTTTGATTCATTGTGATATTCATCTTTTTGATTCACTGTTCATTGTGATAATTTGTTTTGCAACCCTAGGGAACTGATACAGTGTATATTCCCAAAAGACAAAAT
The DNA here is from genome assembly GCF_000001405.40 of Homo sapiens. Taxonomy (NCBI): domain Eukaryota; kingdom Metazoa; phylum Chordata; class Mammalia; order Primates; family Hominidae; genus Homo; species Homo sapiens. Next base: position 77,784 of record NT_187628.1, on the reverse strand, counting down.
ACTCATATATATATATATATATATATATATATATATATATATATAGTTGCTCATTATAGCCTCTAGTGATCCTTTGAATTTCCATGGTATCCATTGTAATGTGTCCCTTTTAATCTCTGATTTTATTTATTTTGGTCTTTTTTTCCTTAATAAGTCTGGCTAAAGGTATATCAATTTTGTTTATCTCTTAAAAAAATTAACTTTTTGTTTTGTTAACATTTTATATTGTTTTCTCCATTTCAATATTATTTCTGCTCTGATCTTTATTTTTTTTTCTTCTACTCATTTTAGGTTTGGTTTGCTTTTCCTTTCCTAGTTCTTTAAGATGCATCATTTGGTTGTTTATTTCAAGTTTTTCTACTTTTTAGGTGTAGATGTGTATGCAATATACTTTCCAAATCATACTGCTTTTGCTGTACCTCATAGGTGTTTGTATATCATATTTCCATTTTCATTTCTTTGATTCATTGTGATATTCATTGTTTTGATTCATTGTTCATTGTCATAATTTGTTTTGCAAACCTAGGCAGCTGATACAGTGTATATTCCCAAAAGATAAAATAGTCATATTTTGCCTTCCAAGATATGTGCTATAATATTTTTGAGTTGATATTTTAAATAGGTTGAGCATGGAATTTAAATATTGCCTAATTTTACCAGGTGCACTATATTTTCCATATTGGAATAAATATAAGATATTAAAGGGTTGTGAATCGGCAGATAATCAGAGGTACTGTACAATCTAGTCAAATGCTTTGATAATCCTTTTCTTTGTTTAAGATCCAATAATTCTTTTTCTGAGTTACATCATGTTTTAGACATGTTCTTTCTAAAGTGGGTTTTGCCATTTTAACTAAAGAATCCTTTTTTTTCTATTGCTCCTATAATACACCAAAATTATGGCATAATACTTTGAAATGTTTACAGTTATTACAAAGTTTTCCCAAGAATTTCTTAAAGGGTTTCTTTTATCAAAGAGCATTTACTTGCAAACATGTTTGCATGTCTAGACTTGTTGGGGGATAACATAGATGGTTTGCAGATAAAAAGATCCTGAGACTAACTTAGAAGCACAAGATCAAATATCACATGTTCTCACTTACAAGTGGGAGCTAAACAGTGAGTACACATAAATGTAAAGGTGGAGATAATAGACACTGAAAACTCTGAAAGCGGGGAAGGTAGGGAGGAGTGAGGGTTGAAAATTACCTATTAGGTATAATGATGTTCAATATTTGGATTATAGGTAGACTAGAAACCCAATCCCCACCATTACACATGTAATACATGTAACAAACAAGACTGTGCACTCCCTATATCTAAAATAAAAAATAAAAATAAATAGAAAGACATCAAACGATACCAACACTAAAAGAAAAAATCCTTAGTGATGAAATTCAGTGGTTTCCAACATTGTCTTCACTGAGACAAGCGCTAAGGATGATCATGGTTTGCTTCAGACACTCTCATCAGCACACTCTGATTTGAGAAATGACAAAGGGTTTTGCAGGGAAGTAAAGTGTATAGAACTACAGACTTAAAAAAAATTGGTGTTATCTTTTTCCTTTTAGAAACATATACATAAATAAAATAAGTAAGAAATATTCAGTTAAGAAAAGTATAATATATGAGAGCTGTAACTTATAATCATCCAACTATTAAGGGTACATCAATGCTATTATGTGAGACAAAGTAGCCTATGCATTAGAGCAATTCCATCTTTATCATCCGAAACTACTTCATATGCTCCATCTCAAAAGCAAGTGGAAGTACTAATGACTTATTTTGATGTTATAATTGTACATTTTAAAAGAAACTTATTTGTAAATTTTGGTAATTTAATTATTATTAATATTAGGTTGGACTACTTGTGACACATTGCCCACTTACTCATGACCTAACAATGTGTCATAACATTGGGACTATAAATTGTCAAAATAGCTTGGCCTTGCTTGTTTATAGAGGTAAAACTGAGACCCCAAAAGTGATTGGTTAAAAACTTCATAGTGTACTAGTAACAGAATGGGAAGTAGGGAGGGAAGGAAGTAAATATAAAGAGTGCATTCTATGTGCCTGGTAGTGCCTCTAGTCATTTGTATACATTCTTCCAAATTTTCACAACTCTTCAAGGTAGAGGTAATTTTTTTTTATTGTACAGAGGAAAATAATAATGGATTTTCAGAGAGTTTAACAGCTTGTTTAATAATACGGAAAAAATAAGTCACCAGTATGGATTCAATACAGGCCTAAATTTCCTATTACTGTTCTGTGCTTAAGGATAAAACTCATATTTTTACTTCAGTTGTGTGCTATAAGTCATATTAATTTTTCCCTTTTTATTTATTTATTTTTTATTCCAACAGGGTTTTGGGGAATAGGTAGTGTTTGGTTACATGGATAAGTTCTTTAGTGGTGATTTCTGAGATTTGGGTGCACCCATCACCCGAGCAGTGTATACTGTACCCAATATGCAGTCTTTTATCTTTTGCCATTCCCACCCTTACCCCTGAGTCTCCAAAGTCCAGTCTATTATTCTCATGTCTTTGTGCACTCATAGCTTAGCTTCCACATATGAGTGAGAAAATACAATGTTAGGTTTTCCATTCCTGAGTTTGTTCACTTAGAATAAGTCTCCAATTCCATCCAAGTTGCTGCTAATACCATTATTTTGTTCCTTTTTGTGGCTTAGTAGTAGTCCATGGTGTATATATATATATATACATACACACACAATTTCTTTATATATATATGTATATATACACACACACACACACAATTTTTTTTATCTACTCATTGATTGATGGGCATTTGGGCTATTTTCATATTTTTTGCCATTTCAAAATGTGCTGCTATAAATATGTGTGTGCAAGTATCTTTTTTTGTATAATGACTTCTTTTCCTCTGGCTAGATACCTAGTAGTGGAATTGCTGGATCAAACAGTAGATCTACTTTTAGTTCTTTAAAGAATTTCCACACTGTTTCCCATAGTGGTTGTACTAGTTTACATTCCCACCAACAATGTAAAAGTGTTCCGTTTTAGCTATATCTGTGCCAGCATCTATTTTGATTATGGCCATTCTTGTAGGAGTGAGGTGGTATTACACTGCAGTTTTGATTTGCATCTCCCTGATCATTAGTGATGTTGAGCATTTTTCCATGTGTTTGTTGGCCATTTGTATATCTTGTTTTGACAATTGTCTATTCATGTCCTTAGCCCACTTTTTGATGGGATTGCTTCTTTTTATCTTGCTGATTTGTTTCAGTTCTTTGTAGATTCCGGATATTAGTCCTTTGTTGGATGTATAGATTGCGAAGGTTTTCTCTCACTCTGTGGGTTTTCTGTTAACTCTGCTGATTATTTCTTTTGCTGTGCAGAAGCTTTTTAGTTTAAGTCCTATTTATTTATCTTTATTTTTGTTGCATCTGCTTTTGGATTCTAAGTCATGAAGTCTTTGCCTAAGACAATGTATAGAGGGGTTCTTCCAATGTTATCTTCTAGAATCTTTATGGTTTCAGGTCTTAGATTTAAGTGTTTGATCCATTTTGAATTGATTTTTGTATAAGGTGAGAGATGAGGATCCAGTTTCAATCTTCTACATGTGGCTTGCCGATTATCCCAACACCATTTGTTGAATAGGTTGTCCTTTCCCCACTTTAAGTTTTTGTTTGCTTTGTTGAAGATCAGTTGGCGCTAAGTATTTGGGTTTATTTCTGGGTTTTCTATTCTTTTCCGTTGGTCTGTGTGCCTATTTTTATACCAGTACCATGCTATTTTGGTGACTATGGTCTTATAGTATTGCCTGAAGTCAGGTAATGTGATGCCTACAGATTTGTTCTTTTTGCTTAGTCTTGCTTTGGATATATGGGCTCTTTTTTGGTTCCATATGACTTCTAGAATTGTTTTTCCTAGTTCTGTGAAGAATGATGGTGGTATTTTGATGGGAATTGCGCTGAATTTCTAGATTGATTTTGGCAGTATGGTCATTTTCACAATATTGATTCTACCCATCCATGAGCATGGGATATGTTTCCATTTGTTTATGTCATCTATGATTTCTTTCAGCAGTATTTTGTAGTTTTCCTTGTAGTGGTCTTTCACCTCCTTGGTTAGGTATATTCCTAAATATATATATATTTTTTGCAGCTGTTGTGAAAGGGGTTGAGTTCTTGATTTGATTCTCATCTTGTCGCTGTTGGTGTAGCAGACCTACTGATTTGTGTACCTTGATTTTGTATCCTGAAACTTTGCTGAATTCATTATTCAGTACTAGGAGCTTTTTGCATGAGTCTTTAGGGTTTTCTAGGTATATGATCATATCATCTGCAAACAGCAACAGTTTGACTTCATCTTTACTGATTTGGATGCCCTTTATTTCTTTCTCTTTGTCTGATTGTTCTGGCTAGGACTTCCAATAGTATGTTAATAGAAGTGGTGAAAGTGGGCACCCTTGTCTTGTTCCAGTTCTCACAGAAAATGCTTTCAACTTTTCCCCATTCAATATAACATTGGCTGTGAGTTTGTCATAGATATTACTAGCTTTTATTACCTTAAGGTGTGTCCCATGTATGCCAATTTTGCTGAGGGCTTTAATCAAAAGTGGTGTTGGATTTTGTCAAATGCTTTCCTGCATCTATTGAGATGATTATGTAATTTTTGTTTTTAATTCTGTTTATGTAGTGTATCACATTTATTGCCTTGCAGATGTTAAACTATCCTTGCATCCCTGTTGAAACCCACTTGATCATGGTGAATTATCTTTTTGATATGCTGTTGGATTTGTTTCACTAGTATTTTGTTGAGGATTTTTACCTCTATATTCATCAGGGATATTGGTCTGTAGTCTTCTTTTTTTGTTATGTTCTTTTCTGGTTTTGGTATTAAGGTGATACTGGCTTCATAGAATGATTTAGGGAGGATTCCCTCTTTCTTTATCTTTTGAAATGGTTTCCATAGGATTGGTACCAATTCTTCTTTGAATGTTGATAGAATTCAGCTGTGAATCCATCTGGTACTATTTTTTTTGTTGTTGGCATTTTTTTGGTTACCATTTCAATCTCACTGCTTTTTACTGGTCTGTTCAGAGATTCTGTATCTTTCTGGTTTAATTTAGGAGGGTTGTATGTTTCCAGGAATTTATCCATCTCCTCTAGGTTTTCTAGTTTGTGCACATAAAGGTGTTCATAGTAGCCTTGAATAATCTTTTGTATTACTTTGTTACCATTTGTAATATCTCCTTTTTTGTTTCTAATTGAGCTTATTTGGATCTTCTCTCTTCTTTTCTTGGTTAATCTTGCTAATGGTCTATCAATAGTGCTTTTCTTTTCAAAGAACCAGCTTTTTGTTTCATATATCTTTTGTATTTTTTTGGTTTCAATTTCATTTAGCTCTGCACTGGTCTTTGTTATTTCTTTTCTTCTGCTGGGTTTAGGTTTGGATTGTTCTTGTTTCTCTAGTTCCATGAGGTTTGACCTTTGATAGTCTATGTGTGCTCTTTTAGATGTTTCGATGTAGGCATTTAATGCTATGAACTTTTCTCTTAGCACCATTTTTGCTGTATCCCAGAGGTTTTGATAGGTTGTGTCACTATTATTATTCAGTTCAAAGAATTTTTAAATTTATGTCTTGATTTCATTGTTGACCCAAGTATCACTCAGGAGCAGGTTATTTAATTTCCATGTATTTGTATGGTTTTGAAGGTTCCCTTTGGAGTTGGTTTCCAATTATATTCCACTGTGGTCTGAGAGAATACTTGATATAATTTCAATTTTCTTAAATTTACTGAGACTTGTTTTGTGGCCTATCACATGGTCTATCTTGGAAAGTGTTTCATGTGCTGATGAGTAGAACGTATATTCTGCAGCTGTTGAGTAGAATGTTCTGTAAATATCTGTTAAATCCACTTGTTGAAGGGTGTAGTTTAAGTCCATTTTTCATTGTATTGTTTTTATATAGGTCCTCTGAGATTTATGCTTTAAGGAAGTTCTATTTTGGTGTATTTTGAGGATTTGTTTCAAGATTTTGAGCTCCTTTTAGCAGTTTTTGTAGTGCTAGCTTGGTAGTGGTGAATTCTCTAAGCACTTGTTTGTCTGGAAAAGACCATTTTTCCTTCATTTATGCAGCTTAGTTTCTCTGGATACAAATTTCTTGGCTGATAATTATTTTGTTTAAGGTGCCTAAAAATAGGACCCCAATCCTTTCTAGTTTATAGGGTTTCTGCTGAGAAATCTGCTGTTTGTCTGGTAGGTTTTCCTTTATAGGTTACTGGATCCTTTTGCCTCACTGCTTTTAAGATTGTTTCCTTTATTTTGACTTTAGATAACCTGATGACTATGTGCCTAGGTGTCAATCTTTTTGTGATAAATTTCCAAGGTGTTCTTTGAGCTACTTTTATTGGATGTCTAGATCACTAGCAAGGGCAGGGAATATTTCCTAGATTATTCCCTCAAATATGTTTTGCAAACTTTTAGATTCTCTTCTTCCCTAGGAACACCAATTATTCTTAGGGTTGGATGTTTCACATAGTTCCGAACTTCTTGGAGTTCTTCTTCATTTTTTTTAAAAACTCTTTTTTCTTTGTCTCTGTTGGATTAGGTTAATTTGAAAGACTTTTCTTTGAGCTCTGAAGATCTTTCTTCTGCTTGTTTGATTCTATTGCTGAGACTTTCCAGTGCATTTTGTATTTCTCTGTGTCCTTGATTTCCAGAAGTTGTAATTGTTTTTTATTTATGCTATCTATTTCACTGAAGAAATTTGCTTTCTAATCCTGCATCATGTTTTTGATTTCTTTAAGTTGGATTTCACCTTTTTCTGGTGCCTCCTTGATTAGCTTAATAATTGACCTTCTGAATTCTTTTTCTGGCAATTCAGAGATTTCATCTTGGTTTGGGTTCATTGCTGGTGAGCTGATATGATCTTTTGCAGGTGTTAACAAATCTTGTTTTGTCATATTACTAAAATTGTTTTTCTGGTTCCTTGTCACTTGGGTAGACTATGTCAGAGGGAATATCTGGAATTCAAGGGCTGCTGCTCAGGTTCTTTTCTATCACAGGGTGCTCTCTTGATGTAGTGTTATCCCCCTTCCCCTAGACATGGGGCTTCCTGAGAGCCTAACTTTAGTGACTGTTTTTGATATTCTGTGTCTAGCCACCCAGCAGAGCTCCCAGGCTCCGGGCTGGTACTGGGGAGTGTCTGTGAAGAGTCCTGTGATGTGATCCATCTTCAGGTCTTGCAGCCATGATATCCACACCTTCCCCAGTGGAGGTAGCAAGGGAGTGAAGTGAATTCTGTGAGGGCCCTTGGTTGTATTTTTGTTTAGTGCACTGGTGTTGTGTTGGTTGGCCTCCAGCCAGGAGGTGGCACTTTCAAAACTGCCTCCCTATAGGGAGGACGCAAAGTTGCTCTAGGGACCCCTGGTTAAGTATTCAGGTCTCTCAGGCAGTGGACAGGGCTATAGAGCTTCCGAAAGATTATGACCTTTGTCTTTGGCTACCAGGGTAGGTAGAGAAAGACCACCAGGTGGGGGCAGGGTTAGGGGTGTCTGAACTCAGCCTCTCCTTGGGTGAGGCTTGCTGTGGCTGCTGTGGGGGATGGGAGTGTGATTCCCAGTCCAGTGGAGTTATATTCCTGGAGGGATTATGGCTGCCTCTGCTGAGTTATACAGGTTGCCAGGAAAGTGGGGAAAAGCCGGCAGTCACAGGCCTCACCCTGCTCTCACACAGCCTGCAGTCCTAAAGACTGGTCTCACTTTCACTGTGTTCCCCAAACAGCACCGAATCGATTTTCAGGCAGCCGGAGACCAGGACTAAGAACTTGCCCCAGACCACGAGCCTCCCCATTGAGAAAGCAAGTGGACTCACAGTTTTTCAGCATCTCAGGGAGCCTGCATTGGTGATTCAGTTCCTTCAAAGGGTCTGTGGATTCTCTTGGCTTTCCTGGTTATGCTCCTGCCGTAGTTTTTGGAGAAGTTCATGATGTGAATCTCCACATGCTGCTCTGTCTGTCCAAGCGGAAGCTGCAAGCTAGTCCTGCCTCCTATCTGCCATCTTAATCCCCAACTTTCCTTTTTTTAAAAAAAGTTATAAAAAGGCAAATATGTGCCCTGTTTTGGTATATTCAGGATGTATTCCTGCACACATATACTTACATTTATCTCCATAATTTGTTCTGTATTTTGCTGATTATCTTCAGAGTAAAATGTCACTTTTCTTAAGTGTTTAGATCAACTACTGACAACTATTGACAAAAAAATACTTGGCCTGACCAAAAAGGGTCAGAAATGTTCTTCCCATGCAGCCATATTGGTCAAATCACTTAACGTAATTGATCATATCTCCAGACATGCCTAGTTGACAGTTTATTTCTTTCCTATTAAAACTAAATTGTCATTTTTTGGACTATGTTATAATGATCTTAATTTAGTAATTGAAAACTGATTATCGAGGTAATTTAAATTGCCAATAATGAATCGCATAAGGTTTAAGCGAAATCTTTAAAAACCTAATACCTTACCTACATTGATATAATCCATGAAACAATTACCCAAAAATACATATTTTTCCAATGCAGACAGTTTTAATAATAAACCTGAATTGTAACTACAGTGATAATAGATTTCTTTCTTCTGTCGTATCACCATATGTTCAGGCATTAATCAATTTATTTTGGAGAAGATGAATGGCAAGCTATAAAATTTCCAGGTCAGTATTGGCTTAATTATATTGTGTTTCAACAAAAACAAGAGTTGTGGTCAGAGGTGTTAGACTAATTTTGACCATGCTTATTTCATTTATAAAACTTCCTTTGCGCTATTAGCATCCAAATTTTATTGCCACAAATAGCGATATCTTATTATTTCATAAAGAATTCATATTTCATCTGGAAGTCTGAATTTATCTACTTAGTTACTTTTACTATTTGAATCCAACAATTTTGGTTTCTTATGAATGTGTTATATCTATCAGTCGAATCTAGTCTAATCTGATCTATGAATCTACTTGTAAATAATTATTGATTTGCTAAAATAATCCAGTTTTTCCTTTTTAAAATTCACTTTAGAAAGTTTAGTGTATTTGAAAGCTTAAGAGGCTGCAGTTTATCTCACTGTAGAATGGAGGAGAAATTACAGTGTAATAGAAAATTTAAATTTTCCTTAGTAATTATGTTGATACTGCAGAGTTAGCAGAAATAATGTTTTAAGCTAATTTAAATTCTAAGTCTAGATTCCAGAGACCATACCAGTTATAGATTTAAATGTTTTGAATGATCAAAAATAAATAAAATTTGCATTCTTTTTTTTTCTTTAGAATAAAACTGTAGCTAACATTAACATTGTTTTGTTGTAAGTAAGGAAGAAAGATTTTTCTAACTGCTGGTATTTAATTTCCTATATGGTGTTCCATAGCTACTTCGAATCCTTTGTAGGTTTGTCTAATTAGAAAGAAGAAAGGAAGAAAAGGGAAAATACATAAATGTGCTATAACAGAACTTCTCACACACTGACTTGATAGTCTACAGGAGTGTTTTCAGAAACAGCTCTGTAGGCTGGTGAAGGAAGCAGAATTGGGAGAGGGAGATACCGTTCTGTGATGCAGTTGCTGCAGAGTTCTCACATACACAACATTATTCACTAGAGTCCAGTAGGAAGACTTTCTTGCCATAAGTCAGCCTTGGCTCTTTTTCAGAATCTCTAACATAAACATCCTATTGGGGACAATTCAGCAATTCCCTTGTCCTCCTTTTCAGCAAAGGCCCTAAGTGGCTGTTGATTTCTTGGCTGGGAATCTTCTTAGATCTTTCTGATCTCTGCATCAGGGCCTATTCTTTCCTCCTCTCCTTACAGAATGCTGGCCGATCCCGCTTATACTGGAAAGGTATCTGAATATGACTGCTGCTCACCTGATGAAATGTTGGCACTCTCTATCTCTATGTTCTACTAGATTTTCTGCTGCTGGGGCTCACACATGAATGGAAACATTAGTAGGGTATGAAATGAACAAGGAACATGACACTCTTATGCTTTCAAGCCTGCTTCACTGTCACCTGGCCTTTTGCGAGTCCTGGCCTTCCTACAGTGAGCCAGATTCTTTGTGGTGTTAGCTTACACCCCCAGCTTGAAGCAGTATTCAGATTTATTCTGATAGCTCCAGATGTAGCCCACAACATTAAAACAATGGGAATATTATGTGGACTGATGAAGCTATTTGTCTACATATAGCTTAAGTTGTAAGAAACAGCTCCAACCCTCACATTTTTAAGACAAAATTTGACCAGTGCAAAGTTTGGGTGTCATATATAAAACTGGGTTAAGTTTTGTGAATTTTTTAATAGTTTAAATCTAGTGCAACTCTAGCCAATTTTAACTTAGTGGAGCTTTGGCCTTTATTTCTGAATTATACCATACACAATTTTTCATACATGGAGCGTTCACAACTGTATTGAATATTAATCACTCATTGGATTCAACATGCTATAATTCTAAGCCAACATAAGAGAACTACTTGGATTCATTAAGTCATTTTGCTTGTTATTGTCCTGATTTCTGTTCACTATATCATTCATAGAAAAAAAAGGAAGGACATGTTTGTTGATTTCTTTCTCTGTTTTATTCCCTGATGATTGATTCTATCTCTCTTAACTTTTATTTTATGTTTAGGCTGAATCCACCACGTAAAGAAAAGGAAGTAAGTTCAAAACAAAAGAAAATGCCCATATTTCCCAACCAGAAAATCAGTAAAGGAAAAAAATCACTTCCATAATAATAAAGATACATTTTAGAAGACCAAAATATCTCTTATGTGTAAAATTAAAATTATTTGGTTGAATTTACATGAAAAAAATGGAGATTCCATCACAAAGCATTTCCTTTTAACTCTAGATGGTGAGACTTTAAGCTTCTGAAGGATATAAAAAACTCAGTCAAACCAGCTTAAGTTTAAAAAGCCATATTGTTGAAGTCTTAAAAACATTAATATACTTTGCCAGAATTATAGCCTGATTTTATTCACTCAACATTTAATGAGATATACATGGAGATATATATACATATATATATATATACATAGATATATATACATATATATATACATATATATATGTATATGCCATGAAATTATAAATGGTGTGTTCTCTTAAAAAATTTACAGTCATTGAGGAAGATGCACAGCTTTAAAAGAAGAGTTAAAACATGGTATAATATGGAATATAATAGATATTTTTCACATGGTGCCGTGGAAGTACAGACAAGAGTCTTCTAAATCAGTGTGATGAATCAGAAAAGAGCTTACATATGAGATGACAGTTGGTGAATTTTCAAGACTATACAATGTTGCCTGGGTAAAAGCAAGTGGCAAAGAGCATGCACAGTCACTAAATGAATGAAGAGATAAAAGGATGGGCTCTGAGTAATGACTGTGACTCTGCACTCAACAGCTCTCACTGCAGAGCTCTTCTGTAGCTATATGGTCACTCTGTGTGAGTCCCTCCAGCTAAACTCTACCTAAGTTTTGGATTCTGTTTTTGGCCATGTAGAAACCAAGGACTTATAAGGCAATGGTTTGGCTGCAAAATTCTGGTTACTTGTTAGGAGTTAAGTATCATCTCAGCTTTTATATTGGCATTTCTTCTACAGCATCATAAATCTACTTTCTCAGACACTACCACAGAGGTTCCCAAACCCTGGGCCTGTTAGGAACTGGGCTGCACAGCAAGAGGTGAGTGGCAGGCCAGTGAGCACTGCTGCCTGAACTCTGCCTCCTGTCAGATCAGTGGTGGCATTAGATTCTTATAGGAGCATGAACCCTATTGTGAACTGTGTATGTGAGGGATCTAGGTTGCCTGCTCCTTATGAGAATCTAACTAATGTCTGATGATGTGAGTGTCTACCCCCTCCATTCATGGAAAAATTGACTTCCATGAAACCGGTCTCTGTGCCAAAAAGGTTGGGGACTGCTGCTCTACCACTCTCCACACTGCTTCCTGCAAATTGAGGTTTTAGGCCATGCAAAGTGAGGATCCTGTTCTTAGAAAAGAGAAAAAATTAATATAAAAATATATTCTAATGTGTAACAGTGTTTCAATGGAATAGACTGTTTTAAACACTTTAAACAGTTGTTTACATACTATTCCTTATTTTCTTCAAGATATAGATGCAAAATCATTGTCTTTCTTAGTTTATCTGTACTGTTATAACAAATACCTGAGACTGTGTAATTTATAAAGAAATTTATTTCCTCATGGTTCTGGAAACAGTGAAGTCCAAGATCAAAGTGGCTGCAGGTTAGTGTCTGGTGAGGGCTCCAGCCTCTGCTTCCAAGATGAAACTTGGAACTGCCTTGAAAGCAGTGTCCTCACATCGCAGAAGAGGGGAAGAGAAAGAACCTACTCCTTCAAGCCCTTTTTTAATGGCTCTAATCTCATCCATGATGACTCTGCTTTCATGACTTAATAACTCCCTAAAGTCTCCACATCTTGGTAAAATCACATTGGTGATTAAGTTCTATCATATGAATTTTGGGAGACACATTCATACCATAAAACTGTCTTTATTTTTAAAAAAATATACCCACTCACTTTTGTACATTCGGATAAGAGTCTACCTTATGCCCATTATCTGATTTGTTTCTCTTTTCTTCATTCACGTTTCAAGCACACATTCTACAGTCTCTCTGAGTTCTGTCAAAATTTCAGTAAATCTTGAGAGTTGAGAATTCCTTGCCATGTTACTGTTGTGTTATAGAAAAAAATTATCTTTCGTCTTTTTTCTTGTCTTTCATGATCTTCCCCTCCCTCTTTATGTTTTTCTTCTTTTACTTTTCCCTTTTCTTCTCTCTTTTATTGATTCATGAGTTTATCTTTGTTTTTATGATTCTTTTTCACCATTTCTTCTTCCCTTTCTTATATTTTTCCTTCCTTTATTCTTTATTGAGAATGTATTATTATGGGCACAGTGTCTTGTAAACTGCACAAAGATGATAACACATGGTTTTTACTGTCTTTATCAACTCATATTTTTGAGTGGTAAGACTTTTTCTTTAAACCAATAGCCTTCCTAGGAATTAAACAGAAACTAAAATTAAGTCAAAAGAAAACTAACATTTCGATCAAGACAATAAATACTGTGAACAATATTATTTTGAATAACATAATACTAGATGCTTTCTAGAAAAACCAAATTATTTGCATTCATTTTTATATTTTATCTATATATGCTAATGGTTTACATTTATTTTAAAAATCTGTATTTGGTGACCAACTCTTTCTTTGATATTCTATGGACTACTTAAAATCAAGTGTCTGAGGGCAGTGCCCCACCCTGGATCACTATAGCAACTGTGACATGGTTAGTACCCTCACTGGCACACCTTACTACATGAGTCCTCAATTATTCTCAAACAAACACTAGAGCTATAAGTCTGATGTTTGGACTCTGGGATGCTGTGTTTGTGAAATGGTCACCCAAAGCATACTTTCAATGTAAAAATACCAATTCTTTAGTTTATGAAATTATTGAAGAAAAGCTGCCAGAGATACCAATAGATTATAGCCCAGAGCTGGCAGAACTGATAATAACAGTGCAGAACGGAAGTCCTGAAGAAAGACCCTCTGTGAGGAGCATCCCAAAACAGTCTAATGTAAAGCACCAAATCTTGTTTTTGAAGGCTACAAAGACAAAGTTTTCCAAAAATAACATTAAAAGTGATTACTCTAAATCCAAATCTGTTGTTATAGTGGTTTCTAGAAAGACAGAATGAAATCATGAGTGACCCACCCCCAATCACACTGTTCAAGGGCTGTGGGATGTATGTAATGAATGAAGAAAAATGTTTGTTCGAAGCAAAAGCCATAGTCATGGGTCCCTTGAAGTTACCTGCCAGTCTGAAAGGCCATGCCTAGAAACCATGCATGAGTAATACTGTGTGGTCACTAGCCACAATCAGGAGGGTAAATATTGACATCTTACCTGCAGAAAGGAGAGACTCAATGAACTAAGTGGCTTAGTTCAGAAGAATCAACCAAGACACTTAGATGCCTTTAGTGACCTAGGAGATAAAAACAGTATTTCTTCTTATGGGCTGCAGAATAATACTGAGTCCAGCAATCTACCTAAAAACCTGACTACCACCTGGTCTTTGGACAATGTCACCAAGGAAAGAAATGAACCAGTGAAGCCTCTGCAGCCCCTAAACAAAGACCAAAAGCCAAGGACCAAATGAATGATAAGCTCAAGATAAATGGAATCATAGGATAAAAAAAATTAAAAGATCTAACGCTACTAAAAGTTAAGCTTAATGGATTTGTGTCAAATCCATTTTCTATTTTGTCTTTTCATATAAAATAGACACCTAAGAGTAGAATCACTCATATGAAATTACCTAGAAATTTTTAATTCCTGTTTTCTAATATAATAGATTATCAAGAACTGTGAAGGGTCTAAGATTTTACCTTACCTGCAAGCTTAAATAGTCTTACAGTTTCATCAGTAGGTACTAGACTCCTGGGTCAGAGAGAAAGGACAGTTTCCTGATCACAGAAATAGCAGTAGTCTGAGTATCAGCAATATTCCATATCAGAATCTTTTCTAGAAAGCTAGGTCAAGGGGAGAAGGGCTACCCTTTTGGAGTTTTACAGAAAGAAAAGTTTCAGTGGCTATTATTGATGGCCAGCTCCTTGAAAAGACCACTGAAATAATAAATTGATTTAGCAAAGTTTATTATTCTGCAGTAAGAAAGACCATCTTCTTGAAAGAATTTTATCGTATCTTGGAAAGAGGGAGATTAAAGACATGTAATTATAAGCCTTTGGCATATGGCTTTAGGTGTGTCTTTTAATAATGGCGGTTGTTGGAATTGGACAATGTGCAAGATGTAATAGTTTAGGATTAGTTGACACATCAAGGTGAGGGTTTTAAAGTAAGTCTTGATAATTAGTCATTTGATAAACAAGTAATTTGGCCTTTTGAGTTGTATATTGTCCACAGGAAGACTCATTTACACTGATAAACAATCTATTATTTTGAGAGGAAGCTAGTTGAACTGTGTATTAGTTGCAACTTTATCTTATTGGGAAAGAATTTCCTGCATGAGTAAAGTCATATGCTTGATCTTATTGATTAGATAATAGACAATAGGCAATGGTGGGAACAGGTTGTGTTTCACACAGTTAATCAAAGGCACCAAGAACATGTAGTATTATAAAGAATTTGGTCTCTGTCCTGAGTTCTTGGCATGGAGCTCCTAAAATCCTTACAATTTCATGAAGTATAAGAATGTCTTTGTTATGCTGATATGGTGCAACACATGATGGGCCCCTAGATAGCTTCGAAATGGGGGCTGGCCATCAGAAAGGCCAGCCTGACCTCAAGAGAGGAAAGGGGGATTGAAAATTATGTTTAATCACATGGCCAATGATTTAATCAGTCTCGCTTAAAAACATGAAACTCTAATAAAAACTCTGAATGCCGAAGTTCAGGGGAGCTGCTTGGTTGGCAAATAGATGTGCTGTGAGGGTGATGTGCCCTGACTCCATGGGAGATGTCATAGAGGCTCTGTATCCCCTGCCAGACCTTGCCATTTCAATATCTTTGTCTAGTCCTCTTATGTATGTCATGGGGACTTCCTGAATTAATAACCAATTGGTCAGAAGTGCAGGTGACTTGAGGATCCCCAAAGTCTAGCAGCTGGCATCTACAGTGAGAGCAATCCTGTGCAAAATTCAGCCCTTAATCCTGTGGAGTCTGATGATAACTTAGTGTTGTAACTGAAATGCAATATGCCCAATTGATGTGAGACCATTTGGTGTGGAAACAGAGTGGTGTACATTGAACAAGTACACAATCTCCTTAGATTAAATTGGCAGGAAATTTCCAATTATCTTTGTTGGGCAGACATAGGAAGCAGTAACTGAGAAATATATTCTTAGTAAAAATTGGAAAAATAAAGAAAAACAATCTAAATCCTTCTCTCTTCTTAATTGATTCCTTTTAAAAATAAAAAATAAAAATAATTAAAATCTACTTTGTTTTCTTAAGAGTTATACTATTTTTCTGTGTTTTGGATTTTTGTTTTTGGTGGACTTGCCTCTTCATTTATTTCAGGCTCTTAATAATAACTAATAAACTTTCCAGCGGCATCAAGCTTTAATTTTTTTAAAACTTAGGATGTATTTTAAGTATAACAGAAAAATTCATAATTGACATAATTTCCCCACGTACTTTGCTGCTGAAAGGAGAGAGGAAGAGATGTATGTTCAAAATTCCTAGCAGAATTCTGTCAGTAGCTTCAATCACTGGAGGAATTTTACTCCTTTTTATACCTAGAGCTAAATAAAGAAGTAATTCCCTAGATAATTGATATAAAATAATACTGAAATTGCCAGAGGTGAAATGTTTAAATTTCATACTTAGCTGCTGAAAACATGTCAATGACATTTGAGGGTTTTTTCTACTTTATTTTTGTTTCTGTAGAAAGAAATGCCAGCTATCAAAGATAGCAAGAAGAATAGAAGATAAACAACCAATTTCTTTGCTTCAATCTCAGCAAACATATAGAAATTGAAGAAGATTTTATACTTATTGTTGTCATTAGCACAAAAATCTCAGAAAACATAGTATAAAAGCATTTTTCTTTATTGACTCTTGTGAATGTGTATCTCAATATGTAAAAGTGTTTGAAACAGAGATCTAAGTTATTTTCTAGATTAGAACAGGAGTTATAAATAACCTGCTTACTGTTGCCAGAATTATTTGTATCAAAGAAAGTCTTCTCTAGAAAATTCTGTCATGTGTTTGTAGCTTAATATACCTTTATCAGAACTGCTTTGTATTACAAGAGAAATGTGCAAGTTTAAGTTTGTTCAAACAAAGAAGACCTACACATGGGTAAGAAATATCAACAAATATAAACTTATTAGATTTACAAAGGTTAGTCATTTTTCAAGTGTGAAAATATAAAATATGTAGAAGTATAAATCATTTTTTACATTCATCGATGACTTTTCCTGATTCAGTCATTATATTGCAGTTTGCAAAATGTTATTTTTCTGATTGTCTCATTTATTTTTAATTTGCTACCTGACATTCTTTTCCAAAGTAGAGGCTTTCTTTCTCCTTTTCTTAATTTTTTGGTCACTTTTTCTTTTTTAAATAGTCATGCATTTAAAAAGGTATTATAATACATTACTATCATTAATTATTGTGGTGCTCAAATTTTCCTCATTTTGTGTCCCAATCATTTTAACACCACACCTAGGCAACTACTGTTCTTTTTGTTGCTATTTGCTTTGCACTGCCTAGAATTTATGTGACTAGAATTATGTAGCATGTACTTTACAAAAATCTGGCTGATTTTACTCAGCATATTTTGAGATTCGTTCATGTAATATGTATCAATAGAACATTCCTTTTTATTGTTTTGTATTTTTAAAGTTAGATATCCCAGAGTTTGTTTATCCACTTAACTGATAGTAGATATTTTGGTTGCTTCTCAATTTTGGCTATTACAAGTAAAGCTGCTGTAAACATTCATATGTATCTTTGTATGAAAATATTTTAAAATTTCTCTTGGGTAACTATCTAGACGTAGAATAGCTGGATCATATGGTGGGTGTATTTTTAACTATTTAAGAAACTGCCAAAATGCTCTACAGAGTCATCCCACCATTTTGCAGTCTCACCAGCTGCAAACAAGAGTTTCAATTCCTTCACATCCTTTCCAACACTTGGTATGTTCAGGGGTTCAAATTTTGGCCATTTTAATAGGTTTGTATTTGTAATCTCATTGTGATTTTAAATTGCATTATCTTAGTGACTAATGTTATTGAGGATTTTTAAAAATTCTCTTGTCATGTATATTTTCTTTAGTTAAATGTTTACTAAAATATTTTGCCCATATTTTTAGTGGATTATGTTTTTTAATTATTGAGATTTAGAGTTATTTATATATTCTGAGTAAAATTCCCCTATCAGATACATGATTTGTAAATATTTTATTTCATTAGTTAAGCTGCTTTTTAAAATTATTTTAATAGTATTTTTAATCTTTAATAGTCTTTTGGCCAGGCACAGTGGCACATGCTTGTAATCCCAGCACTTTGCAAGGCTGAGGTGGAGGACTGCTTGAGTCCAGGAGTTGGGGATCAGCCTGGGCAATATAGTGAGACCTCATCTTTACCAAAAAAAAGAAAAAGTTGGCTGGATGTAGTGGTACACACCTGTAGTCCCAGCTACTTGGGAAGCTAAGGTGGGAGGATTGTAGAAGATGGAGGCTGCAGTGAGCTGAGATTGTGCCACTGCACTCCAGTCCCGTCTCAAAAAATTTTTAAAAAGCCTTTTGAAGTGCAGAAGTTTTAAGTTTTGATGAAGTAAAAATTATAAATGTGTTATGATATAGTTTGGCTGTGTCCCCACCCAGATCTCATCTTGAATTGTAACTTCCACAATTCTCACATGCCATGGGAGGAAACTGGCGGGAGGTGGTTGAATCATGGGGGCGGCTCTTTCCTGTGTTGTTCCTGTGATGGTGAGTGAGTCTCTGAGATCTGATGTTTTTTAAAAATGGGAGTTCCCCTGAACAAGCTCGCTCTCTATGCCTGCCGCCATCCACATAAGACATAATTTGCTCCTCCTTGCCTTCCACCATGATTTTGAAGCCTCCCCAGCCATGTGGAACTGTGAGTCCAATTAAACCTCTTTCTTTTGTAAATTGCCCAGTCTTGGGTATGTCTTTATCAGCAGCATGAAAATGGACTAACACATGTTCTTTTATAAATTGTTCTTTTTGTATAGTAAGTAATAAAACCTTGTTTAACTCAGTCACCTAAATTTTCTCCTATGCTGTATTCTAGAAGTTTTTATACTTCTTATAGATTTTACATTTAAATGCATAATCTATTTTGAATTAATTTTTTATACAGTGTGAGATATGGATCAAAGTTTGTTTATTCCATATGGAAATTAAATTTTTCCAGTACTCTTTTTGAAAAGACTGTCCTTTTCCAATTAATTGTGCCTTTGCATCTTTGTTGAAAGTCATTGTCCATACACGTGTGAACTTATTTCTGAGCACTTTTTGTTTCATTGATCTACATGTTTATCTTGTGTGATGCCAATAGCATCATCTTGATTACTATGGCTTTATCATGAATCTTCATATCATGTGTAGTGTCAATTCTCCTATTTTGGCTTTTTATTCAAGGTTGTTTTGAGTATTTTAGATTATTTGCATTTCCATATAAATTTTAGAATCAGCTTGTAAGTTTCTACAGCCTTGCTAGGATTTTGATTGGGATTGTGTTGAATCTATAAACTGGGGAGAATACACATCTCAATAATATTGAATCTTTCATTTCATCTAAATTGGTCAATTTGTTGCCACAAATATGTTCACAATGTTTTCTTATTATTCTTTAAATATTCATAGAATTTATAGTGGTGCTACCTCTCTCATTTTTTATGTTGGTAACTTGTGTCTTCTCTTTCATTGTTTTTTTTTCTGATCAGTCTGGCTAGAATGTAAATTTTCTTTCCTCTTCTTTTTTAAATTATACTTTAAATTCTGAGGTACATATGCATAACATGCAGGTTTGTTACATAGGTATACATGTGCCGTGCTGGTTTCTTGCACCCATCAACTCGTCATTTACATTAGCTATTTCTCCTAATGCTATCCCTCCCCCAGCCCCCCACCCTCTGACAGGCCCCAGCGTGTGATGCTCCCCTCCCTGTGTCCATGTGTTCTCATTGTTCAGCTGTCACTTATGAGTGAGAACATGCGGTGTTTGGTTTTCTGTTCCTGTGTTACTTTGCTGAGAATGATGGTTTCCAGTTTCATCCATGTCCCTGCAAAGGACATGAACTCATCCTTTTTTATGACTGCATAGTATTCCATGATGTATATGTGCCACATTTTCTTAATCCAGTCTATCATTGATGGGCATTTGGGTTGGTTCCAAGACTTTGCTATTGTGAACAGTGCTGCAATAATCATACGTGTGCATCTGTCCTTGCAGTAGAATGATTTATAATCCTTTGGGTATATACCCAGTAATGGGATTGCTGGGTCAAATGGTATTTCTTATTCTAGGTCCTTGAGGAATCACCACACTGTCTTCCACAATGGTTGAACTAATTTACACTCCTACCAACAGTGTAAAAGCATTCCTATTTCTCCACATCCTCTCCAGTATCTGTTGTTTCCTGACTTTTTAATGATTGCCATTCTAACTGGTGTGAGACGGTATCTCATTGTGGTTTTGATTTGCATTTCTCTAATGACCAGTGATGATGAGCATTTTTTCGTAAGTTTGTTGGCTGCATAAATGTCTTCAATTGAGAGGTGTCTGCTCATATCCTTCACCCATTTTTTGATGAAGTTGTTTGTTTTTTTCTTGTAAATTTGTTTAAGTTCTTTGTAGATTCTGGATATTAGCCTTTGTTAGGTGGATAGATTGCAAAAGTTTTCTCCCAATCTCTAGGTTGCCTGTTCACTCTGATGATAGTTTCTTTTGCTGTGCAGAAGCTCTTCAGTTTAATTAGATCCCATTTGTCTATTTTGGTTTTTGTTGCCATTGCTTTTGGTGTTTTAGACATGAAGTCCTTGCCCATGCCTATGTCTTGAATGGTATTGCCTAGGTTTTGTTCTAAGGTTTTTATGGTTTTACGTCTTACATTTAAGTCTTTAATCCATCTTGAGTTAATTTTTGTGTAAGGTTTAAGGAAGGGATCCAGTTTCAGTTTTCTGCATATGGCTAGCCAGTTTTCCCATCACCATTTATTAAATAGGGAATCCTTTCCCCATTGCTTGTATTTATCAGGTTTGTCAAACATCAGATGGTTGTAGATGTGTGGTGTTATTTCTGGGGCCTCTGTTCTGTTCCATTGGTCTATATATCTGTTTTGGTACCAGTACCATGCTGTTTTGAGTTTTGGGTTTTGGGTTTCATTGACTTGTTTCGTGATTTCTAGATAATTGATTTCTGCACAGATACTTATTTTTTTCCTTCTCCTCTTCCTGCTTTGGAAGCTAATGTCATTGACAAGATCACTTTTATTTTCAAGTATAAATATTAAGTAGGTTAAATTAAATGTTAAGTACTATTTTAAGGGCATCCCATACATTTTGATATGTTATATTAGTTTCTAGGGTTTCTGTAACAAAGTACCACATGCTGCATCACTTAACACAACAGTAATTTATTCTCTCACAGTTCTGGAGGCTAGAAGTCCAGAGTCGAAATGTCACCAAAATGTTCTCCTGCAGTCACTGGGCAGAATCTTTCCTTGTCCTTTCTTAGTTTCTGGTGGTGGTAACAATCCTTGGTATTCCTTAGCTTGGTGGTTTATCATTCTAATTTCTGTCTCTGTCATCAGTTGGTATTCTCTCTGTGTGTGTCTTTTCTCCTTTTCTTGCAAAGGCACCAACCAAACTGGGTTAAGAGCCTTCCCTATCCAGTATGACCTTATCTTAACTTAAGTGATTATACCTGTAATGATCCTATTTTCAAATAAAGTCACATTTTGGTGTACTAAGGGTAAGAACATAATTTGGGGTGAGGGCACAATTTAACCCATAACAATTGCACTTCTATTTTTATTCTTTTTAAAACACACTTTCATTTTTATTCTGTTTAAAATACACTCGAATTTGTTCTTTTAATTTTTTTAGGCCTATGAATTATTTAGAAAGTGATTTTTTTTGTTTTCAAATATTAGGAATTTGTTCAACTTAATTATTTGTTGGTATGTTTGAGATAAATTCCTGTGGCTTTTGTATGTCTGAAAATAATCTTTATTTTGACTTCGAAAATAATCTTTTATTTTCATTGATATTTTCAAAGATATTATCTCTCAGGTATAGATTTTTAAGTTGACAGTTTTCTCTTCCTTTAGTACTTTAAATATATTACTCTCCTGTCTTTTCACTTGCATTGTTTCCAACAAAAAATATGCTCTTATCTTGATGTCTCTTCATCTGAACATAGTGTTTGCTTTTACTTTGGCTGCTTTTAAGACTTTCTGTTTATCACCGGCTTTTAGCAATTTTATTATGATGTATTCTTATGCAGTTTTCCTCACATTTTTTGTGTTCAGGGTTCATTGAACTTTTTAGACTGTGGATTTATAGTTTTCATCAAATTTGGATAGTTTTTGAGGTTATTTATTAAAATATTTGTTCTTTTTCCTCCTCTTTCTCTTTTCCATGGAAGACTCTAAATACACATATGTTCGGCTGCTTGAAGTTGTCTCACAGCTACCAATGGTTTTTTAAAAATTCATTTTCTTTTTTTCTCTATGTTTCATATTTGGATAGTTTCTATTATTATATCTTCAAGTTCATTTTTTCTCCAGTATCTTCATCTTTAGATGTTTGATTTGAGTTAAAAAAGATATCTTCCATGTGTCTACTCAATTTTCTGGACATATGGAATATAGTAACAATAACATTTTAAATGTATGTGTCTGCTAATTCTAACATCTTTTTCAGTTCTGGGTCAGTTTAATATTGATTGCTCTATTGCTTTACAATGAATCACATTTTCCTGCTTTTTGTCTGACTGGCAATTTTTGATTGGTTGATGGATATTATGCATTTTCCTTTTTTGGGTCCGGTGCACTTTTGTTTCCTATAAATATTCTTGAGTTTTTTTGAGCATGCAGTCAAGTTACTTGAAAGCAGATTGATCCTTTGAGTTTTTGCTTCTTGGATGTGTTAAGAGGGCTGGAAAAGTACTCCAGAGATGAGATCCTTCTGTGTATCCTATCCAATGCCTGTAAACAAAGAGGTTTCCCAGATTGCTGGGTGAGATGAGGTCCTCTTACCATCCCTGTGTGAGAAGCAGATGCTGTTAACACTGCCCTTTTGGGTGTTTTCCCCCCTACTTTGGGTAGTCTTCTCACTTATAGCACTGATCGCTACTTGTGGGGCACATTCTGCAGTTCTCTGGGTTTCGTCCTGTGAGCTCTCTCCTCTCTGGTACTCTTTCCTAGAAACTCTAACTTCGTTCTTCATCTCTCTGGAGTCTCATCTCTGTGTCCTCAACTCAGGGAGCCTCTGGGCTCCATCTGAGTTTTTCATCACTCATTTTGGATCTGTAAACTCTCAAGGTGGTAAACTGGGGTAATATTAGGATTTACCTTTGTTGCCTGATGTTGTGTCTTTCAAATGGCTTTCTCATTATTTTTGTCTTTTTTTGTTTGTATCAAGGAAGAGATTAAATCTAGTTTCTATTACTCCATTTTGGTTCAGAGTAAACATCCTCAATAACTTTTTGAGGAAGGTTACGAGAAAATCAAAAATTTGGTATTTTGCAAATCTGAAAATGGCTTATTTTCTCTATTTATATGTTGATGGACTGAATGGGTAGATAATTTTAGTTTAAGTCTTTCAATTCTTAAATTTTTTTATTGTTCTTTCAGGTCTCTAAATGTTTCCATCTGTTTTTATTGTTCAGAGGCTATCACTACTATAAAAAGTAAGCTTCTTTCCTTGAATAGCCTGCTACCCCCAAAGAGGTATTTGCTTTTTGTTTGTTTATTTTAGAGTCTATCTTCCATGTTTGAAGCTTCTCTCAGATATCTGGCAATCTCTGTATGCCTGTGATTAAGAGTGGAAGAATAAAAGACTGAATGGAGACTGTGATCATGTGGATCTGATTTGTTGACTTTGAGCTTCACTGCAGAATAATCTGGTGGTGGGGGCATTTTGGGGGCACTAACTTTAGAACTTTCTTTTTGGACTAATCAAGTTCCTTACAGTAGAGCTTTTAGATCTATTTAAGGGAAGGTAAGAGTCCACTTTTTTTGGCATTATGGAAGCTAAGTGAGGAAGAAGTTGGTGTGTTTCTTTTCATATAGTCATTTATGGTACCTATGCCCTCAACGGTGCCTGGCATTCGCAAATTACATATTCTTTGTATTAGAGCAAGGGCACTATTTTTAATGGCCACCAAAACACATCAAGTCCTAATCCCTGGAACCTGAAAATATTACCTTATAAGAAATAAGGGTCTTTGCAGATCTAACTAAGAATCTTGACATGGTAGGACTGTATTGCATTATTTGGGTGAGATCTCTTGTACCCTTGTG
The DNA here is from genome assembly GCF_000001405.40 of Homo sapiens. NCBI lineage: Eukaryota > Metazoa > Chordata > Mammalia > Primates > Hominidae > Homo > Homo sapiens. Next base: position 53,706 of record NT_187628.1, on the reverse strand, counting down.
AAAGAGAGGCAGAGGGAGATTTGACATGCACAGGAAAGGAGACGGTGTGACTATACAGGCAGAGTTTGGAGAGCCACAGCCATTTGAGAAAGCTAGAAGAAGTCAGGGAGGGACTCTCTCATGGAGGAAATGAGGTCCTGCCAACACCTTGCATTTGATTCAGTGAAACTGATTTTAGAGTTCTGACCTCTAGAACTGAGAGAGAATACATTTTTGAAGTTTGAAACCCCCATTTGTGGTGACTTCTTTTACTACAACCACAGGAAATGAAAGTATCCTCTTTTATTTATTTATTTATTTATTTTTTTAATCATTTCTAGAAAATAAGCTTCCAGCATTCTACACGTGTGCTGGTAGGGCACTTGCTCAGCAACATGGAATCAAGTAGAGGATCCTGAGATCTGCTTGTTTCTCAAAAAGCTTTTCTCTGGGCCTCTTTATTTTATCTCCTGTCTCCCATAAACCCTCATTATAAAGTCACCTGTTGCTGTTAGTTCCTATGCCTTTTGAGTATTCTCTGACATAAATTAGATTTTACCCTAAGTTTCCCATAACTACTAGTGGGAGGAAATAGCCGTTAGTCAATCTCTCTCTTTCTCTCTCTGTGTGTGTGTGTGTGTCTGTGTGTGTCATTCAACTCTCACAATGCAGTGTTATCTTTATTCTTATTCTTTGTGTCTTTGTGGGTTTAAATCTTTTAAAAAATACTTTACTATAGTTTAAGTAGACTGTCAGATAATATTGCAATTAGATGCATGTGCTCATTCTGCTATATAGAAACAGAGACAGTATTGTTCACTCTTAACTACTAGCATTATTCTAAATATTCTAAGGATAATAAGATTTCCTCAAAATGTAGACTTTGTCAAACTTAAATAGCAACTAGATCTTTGCCTCTTTCTCCAGTTGGAAATAAAAAAAGTCATCATCACTGAAATTAGGTTTGTCACTTTTTGGAAAAACTCAATTCTCACATTCTTTTTGAATAGAAGCACATTCAAAGAAGATTGATTATTTTGAAGATTTTCAATTTATTATCATTTTGAAGGTGATTTGGTTTATAGAGTTCTATAATGTAAGAATTAAAAACTCATAAGGCTATTGAGAATCAGCAGCTTGTAGTTCTTTAAAGCATTAGTCTGTTATATCTGATATTCACTTTGTAGCTCATATCCCTGCTTAATCAATTTAGCTCCATTGTGTTCCAGAACAGCTACACTAAATACTGTATTGTTGGTCCTACCAATGACTTTTCATAATGTGAACTTGAAATGCTCCCTCTTTATGTGAATCAGTATCTTTGGAATTTTTCATTTAAAAATAAAGCTTATTCATTGCGTGCTAGCTTTGGATAAAACGTGCTCTACACTAATCTGCAGTGCTGAGTCCGGCTCCAGTGCAATCCTAATCAAGTCTACAAAGTTTTGGCATTCTTTGGAGGGATAGCCACTTAAGAAAGGATCCAGTAATATATTGCAAACTCCTCCATTTTAAATATTTCATTTCTTGCTTTGGGACCAGCTGCAAGCAACCAAAATAAGATTGCTTTTAAGAGTGGAAATTTGTAACTCTTTAAGCCATGCAATTTTAGTTTAGTTTTGACTGATCTTGAAGAAAAGTGTTTAAACTTTTCTTTGATGCAAGGTTTCATTTGGAAAGTTCCAGACATGCACCAGTGAGCCTAAATGGATTTGCTACTTTGTTTTCTGGGAGCAGTTTGGTTATTTTCATTGAAATGATGGTGGCATTTTTTTACCCTGTTGGTTATTTTTGCTTAGTTATTGCCAGGTACCCAAAAGATGAGGCCTTTAAAAATTCCATGATAATGTATGCTCATCATGCAGGTGATTTATTTCTCTAATTTTCACTCCAATTCAGAGTATGTAAGACTGTTTTGTTGTGACATTAATGGAAGAAAATGACTCCTACCTTCTTTGTGAGTCTACTTATGGAAAGGACATTGTATTCCTCTTTTTAATTAAAAAAAGTAAACTGGTCTTTCAAAACAAATCTGAATCAAGTATAATTTTATAATAAAACAGAGAAGCTGTAAGGGAGACTTTATGTTTGGTTCTTAAAACTATAATAAGATACAATAAGCAAATACTATCTTTCCCTGAACACTTGTTTCATTAAACTTTTTGAGGGTAAGAGAGAGTAAAGAATCAGAACAAAGAAAAAAAGAAATGTGGGAGTGGAGTTATTTTTTGAAGATCTGCCATGAGTTTCCTGGCTTAGCTAGTGGGAGATGTCAAACAATAAACTGAAATAAATGAACACTGAAACCAAATAAGAACCACAGCTTACACAGGGATATGTTGTTCAGTTTTTCTTGTTAAGCCAGAGCAAATATATTGACATGCACACAGACATGCATATACAACTTTTCAAAGTGACTCTCCCTAATACTGGAAATTTTTGGCTTCTGACCAATTTAAGGAGAGGTTAGCCAAAGACTAAAGCTTTACTAAGACCACCCAAAATTTCGGACTCCACCCCTTCTTTGAATCAGTGCCACTGTCATACAAATGGAGAAAAGGAAAGAGGGAACAGTGGGCAGATGGGGGAGAGGAAGGAAAAAAGGAGACAGAAAAGAAAATGCAACTTTTAATCGGAGGAAATAAAATCTTCCTTCCTTTCCTTCCTTTCCTTCTTTTCCTTCGCTTCCTTCCTTCCTTCCTTCTTTCCTTCCTTCCTTCCTTCCTTCCTTCCTTCCTCCCTTCCTTCCTCTCTCTCTCTCTTTCTTCTTTCTTTCTTCTTTTTGAGTGGATGAAAAGATACAAAACAGTTACATCATTCACTTAGCGTTGATTTTTGTTTGTTTGCTCCTTTTAGCTAGAAGTACACATTGTAATTTTCTGTAAGACTCATGTTGCAAACTGCAACGGGTGTTTTTGGATCTTTTTTAGATTTTAGTTTAAAGTATGTACAATATTTTGAGAATATCTATCTGTTCTAGATTATTCTAGTTCCAATATTAGCTCTAAACTTATACTGTAATATTTTGCATGGCAGGGAACTACAGAAATTAGTTCTTTGATGTCTTAAAGTTTTATGGAAAATTTTCACCACTTTAATGAATCTTTTTGTTTGGAGGCCTTTGGGTCAAGATGTTGGGTCCTGCTGAGACCGAACTGGACTAAGATACTTTAACAGATTCCCACAAATGTTTGTGAAAATCAGTCAAGTGATTATATGCCTATCAGCAAAACATTCTTAACTGTCCTTCTCAAGGTAATGCTTTGCCGTAAGTCTTCTTAGACTTTTTTTTTTTTAAGTAAATGTGAGCACACTGGCAGAGATGGTGAGCAGTTCCAAGTGTGTGTAGGAACTCAAAGTTATCTTTTTAACTAGCTATGAAATGGAGAATGACCAGTTTTACTTCAGTGCATCAGAAAATATTCCAGATCAAGGCAGATCAAATTTAAGAAAAAGAGATTAAAGGAAGCAATTAAATGAGACACAATGTGAAGAAAGTATAATGGAATGTCAGAAAGAAAGGCATGGTCAGGGGGAAGACAGACTTAAATGTGAAGATTTGGAAAAGAGAACTGGTTGACTATTTGCTCTGGAAGCCATGTGCTATCAACTGCTGGGTTAAAGGGGAATGGGTGGAAGTTGCCAGACTACTGACAATAAGAAAACAATTGAACAGAATGATCATGTCCTGCATTGGTTCTCTTACAGATCCCTGTATGCCTGCTTCCAGGCTTTTTACACTGCTGTGTGCATAGAATTGGTTTATTCACTTCTTGTGACTATTGCTCACTTCATGTAAACATTCTCCTAGTGGGTTAAACATTTCTGGAAGCAATTATGTTTCTCAGAAGTAACTCTGTGCTTTCCAGTTAAAATGCCATGAAAAATGTTGCCAATCGTAAAAGTCAGACATTATTTTCTATTACTGTGAAGCCTCCTTAAAATTTTCATGAAGAAATCACTGTCAGTGACCGAGGGTCTTGGAAACTTCAACATGTATACGTCTAAATAGCTATCTGCTTATCTCTTGAAATATATGCATGCAAGTATTTTTAGATGCTAATATTCTGATTTAAGTACTCAAAAATTTGGCCTATAATACTGTTCATAAATTCATGTTTTGATATCCTGAACTTGGGATAAAAATTGAGAAAATTTTTATTCTTTTTAAGCAAATAAAGTTCAAATTAGAATGTTCTACAAACAAGTAACATTTCAAGTCTCCATTTCTCAAAATTAAAAGAGAAAAATTCACTACTTTGAAGATCTATCACTTTAAATTTTGCATCTTGCAGCTACTCAGTTAAGTTCAAAATTTTAATCCTCAATTCATTGACAATGCAAATTATTTGCCAGCATTTGGAAGTCAAACAGGGTGAGAGAGGAGAGCCTTTACATATTCCAGGTTTAATATCTAAGCACCAGATGGAAACAATTCTACAATGAAAGAAAGAAATCTGTTAGGATATTTTGGAGATCTGTTCAGTTCAGCAGCACGTCACTGGTTATGGAGGCCAATTTCTCAGAGGACTTATTTGAATTGCAGATATTGAAGTAGTGTTCTAATTTAACCCAGAAAATGCTGAATTTTAAAGTAAGTTAAGTTTTAACCTTCCTTAGATAAAAAGTACCCATTTTGCTTTCACTAATGACTCATTTGTATACTTGAAACAAAGAATTTTGAGGTAGATAGACAAAGAGAAAAAGAGTAATTTTTATGTGCAATTGAAAGAGTAACAAAAAGTTTCATTGTACAACCATGACCATTCAAGGAAATTGTAAAATTGTCTGCATTTATTTTAGCTATGAATATCCAAGACAGTTTATACCATTTAATGTTGAAGAATTAGGAACAATTAGCAATAAAAATAAAAAAAATTAGCCTATGGATTTTTTGAAGGGTAATTTTTAAGGAAATCTAAACAGAAACAAAGGGCAACAAAATCTGCTTGGTAAAATACTGGCTGGTTGAGCTTCGACAAAGAAAGACTGAGGAACTACTGGGATACTAAGCAATAAATCTCTGAGGGGGCCTCTTTCATATTCATACCTGTATTTTCTGGCAAAATAAGTGTCAAAATTTGCAACCATATGACAGCAAAATTATGTATTACATGGTGTGTTATAGATTTTGGGTGAAATCCAACTGAAATACTTTCATAAGAACTTGACATGATAAACAAAACAGATTGCTATTCCAAACTGCAGTTTGTTTAAAACAAAAAACAAAATACTGCTATTATAATAGATGATTAGACTGTCAATCCTCCCCACCCCCATTGCTAGATTTTTATTTCACAAGGAATTGTGAGAGGACTTATTACTTTTTATGTTATTATCCATATGCAATATTCCGAGGCCTTAAAACAAATGAGAATGGAACTAATAGAAAGTAGGCAGTGAGTTGCAGCTTGTTCATATATTTTGGTTAGGATGAATAGGTGGAGTCCCTGTGGTGAGCAAAGGGAAAAGAATATTCAGTCTTCAAACCTCTGACTTGGTCCCAATGTTTCTGGTATGTATTTGAGCAGAGAGATATAAAGAAGCAAAGGGGAAATGGAAAGGAGTTTAAAAGCAGCAAAGAAGAACAGAATGAAAAGTGGGAGGGAATGATCATGAGGAGATTCTATTCTCTTGAGTTATCTATAAGATTGAATTCTTTGTTTCTGTAGGAGGAACATTGGCCGGTGACCCTTGGTGTCTTCTTAAGTCATGTTTTTGAGATATTCAACCTATCTCCATAGTATTAAATCAAGAGGATACTATGAGACTAAGTAGAAAACATATTTCATGGTGCCGAGATTGTCTCTGAACAACTTAAGAGGCCGAGAGGAGTAATTTAAACTTCCTTAAATGGACTTTACCTGTAGATTGCATACTTTGTATTGATAAAGAAGACAGGACAACTCTCTCAAATAATTTGTGGTTGCTCTGAAGAGGTAGAACTAAAACTGCCAAAGAATGACTGGTCCATGAATCAAGAAACCTGCATTCAAATCCCATATCTCCAACTAACTGTATAAGCTAATCATATCTGGTTTTGTTTTTCTTAGCACTGCAGTTTTCTAGTTCATAAAATAAGGAGTTTGGTTTGGTGATCTCTAAGGTCTATTCAAGCTCTGAAAACTAATGTTTTTGGATTTGCTTTATTCTAAGAACTCAAACACTGGCTCTTGTTCAGTGTCCTGAGAACATGTCATAAATATCTGACAAAGACCTACAGACCTATGAACATTTGAATCTTTGATGTTCTCCCTACTTCCCACTATCTTTCATATCCCTGTTCCATAGAATTGTAGAACTCTTTGTCTTACAAATTTAACATTCAGAAAACATCAACTGGATGTTTATATTATTTGACCTGTTTATTGACTTTATTATTGAACATAGTCAGTTTAAGAGTTAAAGAAAGAGGAAAGAAACATGAAATGTGGCTGGCAGTTAAAGACAGGTTTTCTTTTTCCTTTTTTTAAATTATACTTTAAGTTCTAGGGTACGTATGCACAACATGCAGGTTTGTTACATATGTATACATGTGCCATGTTGGTGTGATGCACCCATTAACTCATCATTTACATTAGGTATATCTCCTAATGCTATCCCTCCCGCCTCCCCCGACCCTACGACAGTCCCGGTGTGTGATGTTCCCCATCCTATGTCCTTTATTTTGGCACTATTCACAATAGCAAAGACTTGGAACCAACCCAAGTGTCCATCAATGATAGACTGGATTAAGAAAATGTGGCACATATACACCATGGAATACTATGCAGCCATAAAAAAGGATGAGTTCATTTACTTTGTAAGGATGTGGAAGAAGCTGGAAACCATCATTCTGAGCAAACTATCACAAGGACAGAAAACCAACCACCGCATGTTCTCACTCATAGGTGGGAATTGAGCAATGAGAACACTAAGACAGGTTTTCTTTAGTTAAAACCTGAGAGGCACTCCTGGCTGATATCAGTCAGGAGAGTTTTCTCTTACAGACTAAGAGTATATATTGGTCTTAGGGAGGGGGGGCTTATTACAACTTGGAATATTTATGTGTTGGGGAAGTTTATGACAGGGTTGGAATCTCTTTGCGAGGAGGGGAGGTTATCTTGGGGCAGACATCCTTCTGGCCTGGAGTGGTGTTTATCTCGGGGCTAGCATGTCCCTGGTTGTGGAGGAGTTTGGAATGTTTCTGGTTGGAGATGTTATTTGTGGTTTATGGTCATGCTGACCTTAGCCATTAGGCTGATACCCTTTGGATTTAGGTGGTTTTTATTAAGGTGAACTTTAGAATGAGGGACTTGTCCAAGATGATGATGCTCCTGCTCTGTCAGTCAGTTCTTCTGGATTCACAAGTGATACTTTTACGAAGCAGTTTCTAGAAGTGTTTGATGGAGTGGAGGACTTGGTTCCCTAAGACTGGTGATATTCAGAATGTTGAAAAGTGGGGTCCTGGTTATTAAGGTAGGGAGAGAGGAGCAGGGTTTGTAATGACCAATCTTACATACTGCCAGAAATTGTATTTTAAAAACTGAATGGTTCCTGAGAACCACTTGCGTGTCTGCTCTGCAGATGTAATCTTCACACTGTAAGTTCAGAGAATTAGTTCTTAATTCTGATTTCACATCAAAGTCATGATGATAGTTCTTCCCAGTGAAGTGGGAAGGCCTAATTAGCAAGGATAGTCATGCTCACTCGGGCTGTGCCCTAGCCTTCCACTCTGACTGCCTCTGGGTCCCTCAGATCTAATTTTCCCTCTTTAGGCCTTCAACCTGAAGCTTGGAATTGAATTTGGGACAAAAAGGTGCCTCAGGAGTGTACACAGACCCATTAAACTAGTCCCAGGTGGTCCTCAGCAAATTGCAGCCAACAACCAGTAGGGCAGCTCCTCGGTTGCTTCTCTATCATAAGCACAATGCTAAGGTGAAGCTGTTGACTCCTGACAAGGTGCGGGGGGCAGTGGGAGGAACCCTTAAATGCAGGGAAGGGGAAGGTGGCTGGGGGGAAATAGGCTCTTGCCCTATGCAAATTGATTCCTTTAACAGGGGACAGAAAACTCTCAATTGTTACATCCTCTTAGTTTCTAAGAATGGACACATACCACATTGTTCTGAATTATACTCCTGATGACTGAGCCAAATGCTCATTCTACCCAGTCATATTATCTCTGTGGTTTGCAACAACACCCTTAGCATTGTATATAAAGAAGAGATAGGAGCTATGACCTCTGCAAAGGAAAAAAAAATCCATAAGAAAGATTGAAGGTCTTGGCTGACACCCGAATGGGCTGTCAGGGATTGAGGGCTGGCCCAGGAAGCTTCAGGTAATGCAGAGATGTACCCTTGGCCAGATACTTTCAGTTGCCCCAGGACCTTATTTTGATCCCACATGATAACTAGACTTCTGTGAAGGGAGACTGGATTGGAACAAAGCCAATATTCTCGATACCTGGGGGTGATGGGGACAAGAGGGTGCGTTGTGAAAGTCCTCCCCAACAAATCTATCCTCTGCAGCCATGCCATTTGTTCTTAACTGGCTGCTACAGGCCTAGCGCTTTATCTGTTTTCAGAAAAAAAAACTGAGGACAAGAAGCCTCGAAATGAAAGTGAAAGAGGTCCACTTTTACTTACCCTTTTGCAGATCTCAGATGACCCCCAGAAATGACACAGGATTCTTTTGGTGCTCCTTTGCCAGCAGGAAAGCTCTGTGGCTAGTGGTGCCTTTGCTCAGGCTTTGCTTGGCACTGGGTTTTCTGCTAGGCTTACTCCTCTCACTCAGCCCAGTGATTGCACTCAGCTTGTGCTATGGGCCTGGATCCAGTGCCTGCCAACTCTGTGCTCAGTCCATGACTGGTCCGGGTGTGCTGTCTTGAATCATTTCTGCTTGGGTGCCAGTGTCTGGACAAGGAGGCTGCAGTGGCTTCTGAAAACTCAGAGATGCCAGCAACTGTGGAGCCCAAGGGGTGTTACAGTTGCTTGGGGAGTCCTGAGGTCTGAGCCCTCAAGGAGTGATACATCTCTCTCTTCTTTCCACTGCCTGCAGCACAGTGAATGGGGGTGGGAGGGCAGCAAGTTTCAGCTCATTTGTTTTACAGCTTGTTCAGTCCTGCTGCCCACATTCCAGCTCATAGCTTCTTGGCTGGCCTGGCCCCATTGCCACTGCTTCCTGTTACATGAAGCAACAGCCTGGTGCCAGCAGAGGGTTGGAGGGCTACAGTGTTACAGCATTTTTTGCACCTGCCATTTGGTGGGTACTGGGTTCTTGTCCCATGTCCAAGAAGAATGAGGTTACATGGACAACTGGAGAATAAGCAAGGCAGAGAAGAGACAACAGAACAGCTCTTGACACAAGAGGGGACCTGAAGTGGGTAGCCCCTACCTGAAAGCATGTAGTCCCAATATGTGGCTGAGTCCAGGGTTTTTATGGGATCAGAATGGGGGAGTGTGTGCTGATTGGTCCATAAGTGGGCCTGGACAAAGCACCATTAAATTGGCTAAAAGGCACTGAGGAAGTTCTCACTCTGGTTGTGGACGCTGGTAACTCAGTTTTCAGGCTTTAAGCTGTGCTTGGTTTGAAGGTCTAGTTTTACTGGGGACTCACCCCTGTCTGCCTAGAAATGTGTCTGCCTTCTGCTGCTATCACCAGTACTCACTTTGTTCTGTATTACTAAAGTATAAACTTGCACAATCTTTCTGCGCTGAATCATAGAATCGAGAAATTTTTGGAATGGAACACATCTTTTTGTTGATCTTTGTCAACTTCTTACTTAGAGATATCTACAACATGGTAAAATGATTATCAGCTTTAGAATAGGAATAGTGTATTTTCTAGCTTCTTTGCCTTCTAGCCATTGATCTGGGTTTTTTTTTGGGGGGGGGTAAACAGATGTATTTTATTTATTAATTAAAATATTGTTTTATATTTTATTGAGATATAATTCACACATAAAATTCACCCTTTTGCAGTGTATATTCACAGGGTTGTGCAAGCATCATCAGTATCTAATTTTAGAATATTTTTATCATCCCTTCGCTAATTAGCAAGAAATCAAATTATAGCTACAACAAGATATCATCTTATTCTAGTCAGAATGGTTACTATTAAAAAGTCAAAAAATAATAGATGTTGGTGAGTATGTGGAGATAAGGGAACTCTTATATGTTGTTGGTGGGAATATAAATTAGTTCAACCTCTATAGAAAACAGTATGAAGATTTCTCAAAGAACTAAATACAAAGCTACCATTGGATTCAGCAATTGCAATACTGGGTATATACTCAAGAGAAAATAAGTAATGATATCAAAAAGATACTTGCACTTGTATGTTTATTGTGGCACTATTCACAATAGCAAAGATATGGAATCAATCTATGTGTCTATCAACAGATGATTGGATAAAAAATGTGGTATATATACACAATGGAATACTACTCATCCATTAAAAAAATTACGTCATTTGCAGCAACATGGATAGGACTGGAGGTCATTTCCTTAAGTGAAACAAGTCAGATATAGAAAGACAAATATTGCATGTTCTCACTTATAAGTGGGAGTTAAATAATGTGTATACATGGACGTAGAGTGGGGGATGATAGACAATGGTGCCTTGGAAGGGTGAAAGGGTAAGAGAAGGGTGGATGATGAGAAATTACCTAATGGATACAATGTACATTATTTGGGTGATGAATACCCTGAAAGCCTTGACTTCACCACAACATAATTTATGCATGTAATAAAATTGAACTTGTACCTCATACAGTTTTTTTAAAAGAATATTTTTATCATCCCAAAGGAAAGCTCATGCCCTTTAGCAATTCTCTCCATTCTCCCATACCTCCTAGGTCCTGGCAACCACTGAATGACTTTTTGTCTTTATGGATTTACCTACTCTACCTTGTATATAAAAGGATTCATACAATATGTGGCCTTTTTGTTTCTGGCCTCTTTTACTTAGCATAATGTTTTAAAGGTCATCCATGTTATAACATGTATTACATTTCATTTCTTTTCATTGCTGAATAATATTTCATTGTATGGATCTGACACATTTTATTTATCCATTCATCAGTTGATGGACATTTGGATTGTTTCCACTTGTGGTCTATTATGAATAATGCTGCTATGACATTTCTCTGCAAGATTTTGTGTAGACATGTGCTTTTAATTCTCTTGATTATATACTTAGGAGTGAAACTGCTTGATCAAATGGTAACTTTGTGTTTAACTTTTTTTAAGGAGCTGACACATTGTTTTCAAAAGTGGCTGCATAATTTAAAATTTCCACCAGCATTGTATGAAGGTTTCAATTATCCTCACTAATTCTTGTCACTGTCTGTCCTTTTGATTATAACCATCTTAGTATGTGCAAATTTGTATCTCATTGTTGTTTTAATTTGCATTTCCCTAATGATTAATGATGTTAAGTATCTTTTCATGTGCTTATTGACCACTTGTATATTGCAGAAATAGCTATTGAAATTCTTTGTCTATTTTTAAATTGGGTTATTTGTCTTTTTGTTGTTGAGTTACAAGAATTCTTTAAATATTCTGGATACAAATCTCCTATCAGATATACAATTTGCAAATAATGCTCCCATTCTGTGGGTTTTTTCACTTTCTTCATGTTTTCCTTTGAAATGCAAAAATACTTTGATAAAGTGTAATTTTATCTGTTTATTATTGCTTTTGGTTTCATAACTAGAAAATCATTGCCTAATTCAAGGTCACAAAGATTTACTACTATGTTGACTTCTAAGAGTTTTATAGTTTTAACTCTCATACTTCATACTCTGCTCTTCTTAAAAAAATTAATGCTTATATATTGTGTGAGATAGGAGCCCAATTTCATTCTTGTGCATTATATCCAGTTGTCTTAGTGTCTTTTTTTAAAGATGTATTTTTGCTCATTGAACTTCTTTGGTACCCTTGTGAAAATCAATTCACCATAAATAGAAGGGTGCATTTTTGGATTCAAAATTTCATTCCATTGACCTGTATGTCTGTCCTTATGCAAGTACCATACTATATTGATTATGGGCACTTTGTATTAAGTTTGGAAATTGGAAATGGGAGTCCTCCAACTTTGTCCTTCCTTTTAGAGATTGTTTTAGCTATTCTGGGTCCCTTGCATCCATGTGAATCTTAAGATCTTTTTGCCAATTTCTAAAAAAGGCAGCTGACACTTTCATAAGAATTGCATTGAATCTATAGATCAATTTGGGGAGTATTGCTATTGCAACAGTACTAAGTCTTCCAATCCATACATTAATGCCCTTCCATTTATTCCTTTTTAAGTTTATTTCAAGTATTATTTTTATTTCAAATAGGTTTTTGGGGAACAGGTGGTGTCTGGTTATGTAAACAAGTTCTTTAGTGGTGATTTCTGAGATTTTGGTGCACTCATCATCCAAGCAGTGTACACTGCACCCAATGTGTAGTCTTTTATCCCTCACCCCCTCTCCCTTCCTGAGTCCCCAAAGTCCATTGTATCTTTCATATGCCTTTGCATCCTCATAGCTTAGCTCCCACATACAAGTGAGAACATATGATGTTTAGTTTTCCATTCCTGAGTTAATTCACTTAGAATAATGGTCTCCAACTATATCCAGGTTGCTGCAAATGCCATTATTTTATTCCATTATATGACTGAGTAGTATTCCATGATATATACATACCACATTTTCTTTACCACTTGTTGATCGATGGGCATTTGGGCTGGTTCCATATTTTTGCAATTGTGAATGTGCTGTCACAAACAGGTGTGTGCAAGTGTCTTGTTGATATCATGACTTCTTTTCCTCTGAGTAGATACCCAGTAGTAGAATTGCTGTATCAAGTGGTAGATCTATTTTTAGTTCTTCAGGGGCTTTCCATACTGTATTCCATAGTGGTTGTGCTAGTTTACATTCCCAACAGCAGTGTAAAAGTGTTTGCTTTTCACCACATCTATACCAAAATTTACAATTTTTGAATTTTAAATTATGGCCATTCTTGTAGGAGTAAGGTGGTATGGTATGGCAATGTGGTTTTGATTTGCATTTTCCTGAAAATTAGTGATGTTGAGCATTTTTTATATGTATATGACCATTGTATATGGCCAAAATTGAGAATTATCTATTCATGTCAATTGCCCACTTTTTGATGGGATTGTTTGTTTTTTTTCTTTCTGATTCGTTTGAGTTCTTTGTAGATTCTGGAATTAGTTCTTTGTCAGATGCACAGTTTGCAAAGAATTTTTCCCACTCTGTGGGTTGTCTGTTTACTCTGAGGATTATTTCTTTTGCTGTGAAGAAGATTTTTAGTTTAAGCTCCTTCTATTTATCTTTGTTTTTGTTGCATTTGCTTTTGTGTTCTAAGTCAGGAAGTCTTTGCCTAAGCCAATGTATAGAAGGGTTCTTCCAATGTTATCTTCTAGAATCTTTATGGTTTGAGGTCTTAGATTTAAGTGTTTGATCCATCTTGAGTTGATTTTGCATAAGGTGAGAGATGAGGATCCAGTTTCATTCTCTACATGTGGCTTGCCAATTATCCCAGCACCATTTGTTGAATAGGGTGTCCTTTCCCCACTTTATGTTTTTGTTTGCTTTGTCAAAGATTGGTTGGCTATATGTATTTTGCTTTATTTCTGTCCTCTCTATCCTGTTCCATTGGTCTTTGTGCCTACTTTTATACCAGTACCTTGCTGTTTTGGTGACTATGGCATTACATTATAGTTTGAAGTCATGTAATGTGATGCCTCCGGACTTGTTCTTTTTGCTTACTCTTTGAGTATGTGAACTCTTTTTTGGTTCCATGTGAATTTTAGGATTGCTTTTTCTAGTTGTGTGAAGAATGATGATGGTATTTTTATGAGAATTGCATTGAATTTCTAGATTGCTTTTGACAGTATGATCATTTTCACAATATTGATTCTACCCATCCATGAACATGGGATATGTTTCCATTTGTTTGTGTCATCTATGAATTCTTTCAGCAGTGTTTTGTAGTTTTCCTTGTAGTGGTCTTTCACCTCTTTGGTTAGATGTATTCTTAAGTTTTTTTTTCTTTTTTCTTTTTTTTTTGCAACTACTGTAAAAGATGTTGAGTTATTAATTTTGAAGCAGGATATTTCTCTGACCCCTTCATGGGCCTCATGACAGGAGTGCCTCACTTACTCATCCCACAGTTCTCAACCCCTCACAAGAGGGAGTATGCAGGTGAGTGGGTGCAGAAACCAGGGTGAGTGCTTTTGGGCACCAATAGGAGAAAAACTCATGGCACCATCTTGAAGGGTGCTCACAACCCCTGAAGCCCCAGAATGACTGTTACAGTGGACTTTTAGCTTTGCCATCTGTGGATGGCTTTAGTGTTAACAGCTCAATGGAGGGTCAGTGTGACAGCCTTTTGCACCACATTTGTGGCTCTGAGCTCTTTTCTGGCATCCAGGAAACATGAGGTTGCATGAATGAATTGAAGATGGTAAATGCAGGGGATTATATTGCTGATGAAAGTCACTCTTAGTGGGATGGGAGTTGAAAAGGGGACAGGGTGGGGAGGCAATCCTCCCTTGAAGTCTGACCATCCCTGGCCAGACTCCTCTCTGAAGTGACACCATCAAGCTCTCTCTTTAAAGTTAAGCTGCTTCTCTCCGACATGCAACCATAGTCTCTGACGTCCAGCTGCTTCTCCTCTTTTGTTGGCTGAGCCTGGGATTTTTATCTGTACAGGATGGGGGTGGGACAGAACATGAGTGGTTTTGGAAAAGGCAACATTAGAGCAGGAAAACAATGATATAAGTTCTCACTTTGGGTCATGGTGTCAGGCTTTTTGGTGACAGGGGGTGTTGTTTTAGGCAGAACAGCAGTCAGATTCCTCCCAGAGGTCCCCAGCAAAAGGGAACCATTGTCTGAGGCTCCGGTTGTTTGATAGCTTGGAGTTTGATGGCCTCTAGGCAAGAAAAAACAAGTTTTACAAAGTTAAGTATGTGTGGATCAAATATGTGTATTACACAAAGAGGAGTTAAAAGGAAAGAATTTTGTGCCAAAGATTACAGAAATAAGTGAAATATACTAATCATTCTGAAATCACCATTTTTAACCTGTGGTATACAATAGAACGAAGGTAACAACAGCAAGCATAGGCAAGACTATAAAGAGAATATACCTGAAAGGCTAATTATTAACACTTTTTAAAAAATTATTAACTTGAGATCTCTGATCTCTTCACATTGTTACTTTCGGTGGTCTTCTGGGTTGATGGAGGTAACTCTGTGAGCTTTCCAGGCCTTTACTTGGGTATAATAAATCCAAGAACATATTCCAGTGACTTTCAGTGCTGTAGGAGTGGAAACAAGTACAGCGTAAAGTCCCTTCCAATCTGGGTTTATAGAGGGAGGAAGGGAAGGAAGTACCTTCATCAGTACTAGGTCCCCTGGGTTGAATAGAAGTGGCCCAAATTCATGGGATTGGGCCTCTGACAGTTGCTCCAGTTCCTGTTGGAAATGGGCCAAAGATCAGAGATTTATTTGTCTAGCAAATCAGAGATTTATTTGTCTAGCAAGAAATCATTGGTGAGAAAAGGCTGTCCATACATCATTTCAAAAGGACTCAAACCTAGCTTTAAAGGGCTGTTTTAAATATGTAGTAGAGCTATGGTGAGAAGGTTAGTCTAGGGAAGATTAGTCTGAGGGAGATAGTTTTCTGAGGTGCCTTTTTTATAATATCATTTGTCTTTTCTATCTTTCCTGAGCATCGTGGTCTCCAAGCACAATGAAGATGGTAGTGTATTCCTAGTGCCTTTGTGACCCCCCCTGGGTCACAGCTGCCTTGAATGAGAGGCCATTATCTCTCTGAAGTTGCTTAGGCAGGCCAGGGCAAGGAATTATCTCATTAATCAGTACTTTTACCACCTTGGAGGCTTTCTTTGTCCCACATGGAAATGGCTCTACCCAGTTAGTGAAGGTATCTGTTCATTCTAGAAGGTACTGGATGCCCCTTACCTTTGACATATGGGTGAAATCCATTTGCTAGTTTTCCCTCAGCCTGCTGTCCTTTGAGTTCCTGGGTGCAGAAGTGGTCAGCTGAAGGGATGATTTTTAAGGCAAATCTTGCAAGCATTAACAACCTGTTTAACTATTTGTGTCAGGTTTTTACCTGAGAACAATCTCTGAACCATTTGAAAGGTTTTATCTTTACCCAGGTGAAAGGCCTGGTGAAGGCTTTTAAGAACTTTCCATTGTTTGGCAGCCAGTAGATGAAGCTTGGCATCCTCCAATTGTGGCCATCCTGAGGACTGAAAGATGTAACCCCAAGAGGTGCCCCATTCTATTTCCATAGGAGAATACTGAAGTTTTATTTCTCCTATGAGGCCCTCCCAGACCAGTGGGGCTTCAAGTGGATCAGAAATCTGAGGCCCTCTCTCTGCTGACTTAGCTGCTTAGTCTTCCAACCTATTTCCCTCAGTTACTTTATCCATTCCTTTTGGGGGCCTTCACATTGTGTTACTGCTACTTCCTATGGGATGAAAACTGAGGATGATAGTCAATTAATTTCCTGTTGGTATTTAATGGGAGACCCATTAGCTGTGAGAAAGTTTCTCTCTTTCCAGATAGCAGCATGGGCATGGAGGTCTAGGAAAGGATACTTAGAATCAGCGTAAATGTTAACTGCTTTCCCTTTGCTTAATTTGAGTGCCCTCGTGAGGGCAATGAGCTCAGCTAGTTGAGCTCTTGTTCCCGAGGAGAGAGACGAGCTCTCAAAAATATCAGTCAGAATAACTATAGCATACCATGCTTTATGGATCTCTTGTTTTACAAAAGAATTTCCACTCATAAAGAGAATTTTGTCTGGGTTCTCTAAGGGGGTTTCCTAGAGGCCCTCTCTGGCTGGATACTACTATCTGTTCACAGTCATGTTCAAGCTCTCAGCTTCCCCTGGGAGGAAGGTGGCTGAATTTAGGGATGGACAGGTCCTTGTTTGGACTGCAGATCCCTCTAATAGCAGAGCTTGATACCTGAGGAGGCAGTTATTCATTAGCCAGAGACTCCCCTTAGAAAACCAAAGTCCTGCCACATTATGCAGAGTATAGATGGTTAAGTTATTCCCTATGGTTAACTCAGTAACCTCTGGTAACCAGAAAGGCTACTGCTGCAACTGCCTGGAGGCAAGCCAGCTCTCCTTTGGCTACAAAATCAAGCTCCTTACCTAGGTAGCCTACAGGTTTCTGGGCTGGACCCCAGATGTGGGTTAGAACTCCCAAGGCCATTCCCTTTCCTTCTGAGGTATAAAGATTAAACATCTTCCCTATGGGAAGACTAAGGAGTATTGCCTTAAGCAAGGCTTGTTTCAGTTGGTCAAAGGCTTTTCTAGCCTCTGGTTCCCAAATTAGTGAGTTTTAGCTATCCAAATCTCCTTTATTAGGTGATATAAGGGATGAGCTATTCACTGTACCCAGGTATCCATAGTCTGCAGAATCCTGTAATGCCTAAGAATCCCCTCAGTTGCTTGAGTGTTTTGGGGAAAGGAAAGGAGGAAATGGGATTAATCCTTTCTTTGCTCAATGCCCTGGTCCACTCTGCCAAGACCAGACCTAGGTACTTCACTTAAGTCTGACAGAGCTGAGCTTTAGATTTTGAAACCTTGTATTCTCTGTTAGCCAGGAAATTAAGAAGAGCCTTACTGCCCTCCTGAGAGATTTCCTCAGTTGAAGTTCAGAGAAGTATGTCATCTACATACTGTAAAACTTTCACCTGAGGATAAAGTAACTCAGAGGGTTCTCTTGACAATGCCTGTCCAAACACGTGGGGGCCATCTCAGAGTCCCTGAGGTAACATCATTCAGGTTAACTGGGTGGTTTATTTGGAGGGATCCTCAAATGCAAACAAATATTGGGAGTTGGGGTGCAATGGTAGGCAGAAGAAGGCATCCTTTAGGTCTGGGACTGTGAACTATTTAGTTTCCTTAGGTATTTGAGCTAGTAGGGAATGTGGATTGGGAACCACCAGGTGAATTGGAACCACAGCCTCATTAACGAGGTGGAGGTACTGAACTAGTCTCCATTCCCAACTGGGTTTTTGTGCCCTGAATATTGGGGTATTAAAGGGCTGTTCCAGGGTTTGAGGAGGCCTTGCAACCTTAAGTTATCAATAATGGCTTCTAGTCCTTTCTTAACTTCTGGTTTCAGGGGCTATTGTTTCTGGTTAGGAAAGGAGGTGAGAGCCTTAAGGTGGACCCAGCCGGTATGGTGGTTGTGGCTCAGCCAATTTTCCCTTGAATTGCCCAAACTTCTGGGTTAATATTAGTCTCCACTAGGGAGAGAGAAAGAGTTTGTCCTGTGGCCATCAGGATGGTGGTCCCCATATGGGTCAGAATATTCCTACCCAACAGAGGAGTTGGTGCTTTCAGGGATAATTAGAAAGGCATGGGTGAACAAGAGGTCTCCTGAACTACAATTAACGGGTTGGGAAGAATATTGGATTAAAGGACTTCCTGAGACACCCCTCACTAGTTATGCTAAGAGAGTAGAGGGAGCTCAGATTGGAGAGGAGAACTGAGAGACCAGCCATGGTGTGCAGAGGGAGATCCACTTTTCTCTATTCAGTTTCCAAAATTATCTGGAGCTCCTGGATGGTAGTGGTGGTCTGGACCACTGGAGCTGGAAAGAGGAACCCTGGGAGCCATCAGTCCTGCTGGACCATTTGGGCGATTGGCTCTGAACCCAGTTACCAGTGTCCCTGGTGACAGTCCACCTTCCAGTGGTCCCCTTTGCAGATTGGACAGGGTCAAGGTGGGTTCCTCATGCTGCCTGGGGAATTCTTCCTAAAATTTCCTGGCTTACCACATCTGTAGCAGTTAAGAGGTGCACCTCAGGGATTCTGGGTTTGTGGGCTTGCATGGTGGCCATTGAAGCCTCTGCCTCTTTCCTGTGTCTCCTCTCTCTCTCTTGGGTTTCCCTATCTCTATTATAAAAGATGGAAGTGGTCAATTTCAGGAGGTTCTCTAAAGTACTATCTGGTCTCAGGGCCCATTTCTGCAGCTTCCTCCTGATATCAGGGGATACCTGAGTAATCCACTTATTTTTTAGTAATACATGGATTTTTAAATACATTTAGGGATTAAGTGTCCCTCAACTGAATCAGGAGATAGAGAGGTGTGCTTTATCAAAGCCCTTCTTAGCCTTTCCAGAAAGGATTGAGCTTTGTATCACATATAGTGTCAGGGAAGGGGTCAAACTTTATCCAACTGGAAGAGAAACAGTACCATTGGATGACCCTAAATGGGATCCCAATGATGAGATGGGAGAATGGAAGAGGAGACACTTTCAGGTGTGCATAATGGAGGACTAGAATTAAGCCTCTCAATTATACCAAGCTATCCATGATAGACCAGGGATTTGATGAGAATCAGCAGGGCCCTCACTGGGCACCTGCCCTCTTCTACCCAGAATTTCCCTGCCTCCTGTCCCTATCAGTTGATTCTCAGCTTGGTTGCCCTTGGTGTATAGCAGTGCTACTGATTTATGTACATTGATTTTGTATCCTGAAACTTTCATTTATCAGACCTAGGAGCTCTTTGGATGAGTCTTTGGGGTTTTCTAGTTATATGATAATATCATTGGTGAACAGCAACAGTTTGACTTCATCTTTACCGATTTGGATACCCTTTATTTTTCTCTTCTCTGATTGCCTTGGGTAGGACTTCCAATACTATGTTGAATAGAAGTGGTGAAAGTGGGCATTCTTGGCTTGTCGAAGTTCTCAGGGGAATGCTTTTAACACTATCACATTCAGTATAATGTTGGCTGTGAGTCTGTCATAGATATCTGTTATTACTTTAAGGTATGTCCCTTCTACACCAGTTTTACTGAGAGTTTTAATCATAAAGCAATGTTGGATTTTATCAAATGCTTTTCTGAATCTATTGAGATGATCATGTGATTTTTCTTTTTGATTCTGTTTATGTGGTGTATCATGTTTATTGATTTAGGTATATTAAACCATCTTTGAATCGCTGGTATGAAACCAACTTGATCATGGTGGATTATCTTTTTGATATGCTGTTGGATTTGGTTAGCTAATATTTTGTTGAGAATTTTTGCATTAACATTCATCAGAGACGTTTGTCTCTAGTTTTCTTTTTTTGTTATGTTATTTCCTGGTTTTGGTAGTAGGGTGACACTGGCTCCATAACATAATTAGGGAGAGTCCCTCTTTCTCTATCGTTTGAAATAGTTTCAATAGGATTGGTATCAAATCTTTGAATGTCTGATAGAATTCAGCTGTGAATCCATCTGGTCCTAGATTTTTTTTTTGTTGGCAATTTTTAAATTACCATTTCAATCTTGCTATTTGTTTTTGGTCTGTTCAGAGTTTCTATTCCTGTTTTAATCTAGGAGGGTTTTATATTTCTAGGAATTTATCCATTTCCTCTAGGTTTTTCAGTTCATGCACATAAAAGTGTTTATAGTAGCCTTGAATGATCTTTTGTATTTCTGTGGTATTTTCTGTTTTGTTTCTAATTGAGCTTATTTGGATCTTCTCTCTTCTTGTCTTGGTTAATCTCACTAATGTTCTATTAGTTTTGTTTATCTTTTCAATGAACCAGGTTTTTCTTTCATTTATCTTTTGTATTTATTTTTGTTTCAGTTTCATTTAGTTCTGCTCTGATCTTTGTTATTTCTTTTCTTCTGTAGGGTTTGGGTTTGGGTTTGGCTTGTTCTTGTTTCTATAGTTCCTCAAGGCATGACCTTAGATGGCATATGTGTGTTCTTTCAGACTTTTTGATGTAGACATTTAATGCTATGAACTTTCCTTTTAGCACCTCTTTTGCTCTATCCCTGAGGTTTTGTTAGGTTGTGTCATTATTATCATTCAGTTCAAACAAATTTTTAATTTCTGTCTTGATTGTATTGTTGACCCAAGGATCATTTAGGAGCAGACTATTTAATTTCCTTGTATTTGCATGTTTTTGAGGGTTCCCTTTGGAGTTGATTTCCAATTTTATTCCACTGTGGTCTGAAAGAGTTCTTGGTATAATTTTGATTTTCTTAAATTTATTGAGACTTGTTTTGTGGTGTATCGTATGGTCTATCTTGGAGAATGTTCTGTGTGCTAATGAATAGAATGTATATTCTGCAATCATTGGGTATACAATGTTCTATAAATATCTGTTAAGTCCATTTGTTGAAGGATATAGTTTAAGTCCATTGTTTCTTTGTTGACTTTCTGTCTTGATGAGAGTTCAGTCAGTGGGGTACTAAAGTCCCCACTATTATTATATGCTATCTATCTCATTTCTTGGGTCTAGTAGTAATTGTTTTTCACATTTGGAATCTCCACTGTAAGGTGCATATATATTTAGAATTATGATATTTTTCTGTTGGACTAGTCCTGTTATCATTACATAATATACATCTTTGTCTTTTTAACTACTCTTTCTTTAAAGTCTGTTTTGTCTAATATAAGAATAGATACTTCTGTTGGCTCTTGGTGTTCATTTGCATGGAATATATTTTTCTACCCTTTAACCTTAAGTTTATGTAAATCCTTTTATGTTAGGTGAGTTTCTTGAAGACAGCAGAATCTTGCTTGGTGAATTTTTATCCATTCTGCCATTCTGTATCTCTTAAGTTGAGCGATTAGACCATTTATATTCAATGTTGGTATTGAGATGTGAGGTACTTTTCTATTCATCATGCCATTTGTTGCCTGAATACCTTGTTTTTTTTTTTTTTTTTTTATTGTGTTATTGTTTTACAGGCCCTGTGAGATTTGTGCTTTAAGAACCTTAAGAAGTTTCTATTTTGGTGTATTTTGAGAATTTGTTTCAAAATTTGGAACCCCTTTTAGTAATTCTTTTAGTATTCATTTGGCAGTGACAAATGCTGTCAGCATTTGTTTGTTTGAAAAAGACTTTATCTTTTACTCATTAATGAAGCTTAATTTTGCTGGATACAATATTCTTGGCTGATAATTTTTTTTTTTAAAGGAGGATAAAGATAGGACCCCAATCACTTCTAGCTTGTAGGGTTTCTGCTAAAAAATCTGTTGTTTGTCTGATAGGTTTTCCTTTACAGGCTACCTGATGCTTTTGCCTCACAGCTCTCAAGATTGTTTCTTTTGTTTTGACTTTAGATTACCTGATGACTATGTACCTAGGTAAAGATCTCTTTGTGATGAATTCCCCAGGTGTTCTTTGAGCTTCTTGTACTTGTATGTCTAGATCTCTAGAAAGGCCAGGGAAGTATTCCTTGATTATTCTCTCAAATATGTTTTCCAAATTTTTAGATTTATCATCTTTCTCATGAGCACCAATTATTTAGGTTTGGTTGTTTAACATAATCCCAAACTTCTTGGAGGCTTTGTTCATGTTTTTCAAACTTTTTTTCTTTGTCTTTGTTGGATTAGGTTAATTTGAATGCTTTGTCTTTGAGCTCTTAAGTTCTTTCTTCAGAGAGGTAATATGGGGAGATTATGGCTTCCTCTGCTGCATCATACAGGTCACCAGAGAAGTGGGGGAATGCCAGCAGTGATCTGCCTCTCCCAGCTCTTATGTAGCCAGAAAAGCTCACTTTCACCATGCCCCAACAACAGCACCGAGTTTACATCCAGACGGCCAGTGAGCAGGGCTGAGTTATTGTCCCAGACTACAAACCTCCCCACTGAGAAAGCAAGCTGGGCTTTCAGGCCTTTTCCATCCCTGCCTGCCATGTCTTTTGTGCTTGTACCTGCTCTTCACATTCACCGCCCCCACCCCCCACCAATTCTGCCCTGGAAATTTCGTGCTAGTTCAAAATTATTAAAGAGTTCACCGGGAAGTTTTCTGCTTCCTGTGGTCCTTCCCCAGGTCTACTGGCAGTCCTCCCAAAGGAACCCTGTGAGATGAAGTCAGAAATAGCTTCCCTGGGGACCAAGAGTCCTGTTGGACCAGCTCTTCTCACTGCTTCTTCTGCTTTTATATTTCACTTGGCTCTCTAAATTTGTTTCAGCTTTAGGTAAGGTTAAGTCTTTCTCCTGTGATCTTGATTTTCAGGTTCCCCAGGGAGAATCTGTGTTCAGATGTGGGCTTTCTCCCTCTCACACTTTGGGCGCTGAGTTTTTCAACTGTCTCACATCACAGAATTTGCAGCAGGAAGCTGCTTCTTTCAAAAGGTCTGTAATCTTTTGTTTGTTTGTTTGTTTTCCCAGTATGTTCCTGCAGTATGTCTTGGAGCAAAAGTTCATAATGTGAGTCTCCACATGTGGTTCTGTTAATCTGAGTGGGAGCTACAAGTGAGTCCTGCCTCCTGTCTTCCATATGTTTTCTCAGTTATGTTGTATAGTTTCTGGTGTACAAATGATCCATGTTTTTTGTTAAATTTATTCCTATTTTATTCTGATACTTTTGTAAATATAATTGTTTTCTTAATTTCTTATTCAGATTATATATTAGTGATGTACAAAAGTACAATTAATCTTTGTATATTGAGCTTGTATTCTGCAACTTTGCTATACTTACTAGTTTTAATAATTTTTTGCGTCAATTTCTTAGCATTTTCTAAATGCAAGATCCTGAATAGGGATGATTTTATTTCTATTTCTTGATTTTAGAAGGAAAGCATTCAATCTTTCACAATTAGATATAATTTTAGCTGTTGTTATTTTGTAGATGGCCTTTATGCAGTTGAAAAAGTTTCCTTCTGTTTCTAGTTTAATGAGTGTTTTTATCACAAAGCAATGTTACATTATGTCAGAGGATTTTACTTTATCTATAGAAATGATCATGTGCTTTTAGTTTTCATCGTGTTAATACGGTGTATCACATTAGTTGATTTTCATATATTAGGGCAAATTTGTACCGTTGAGCTAAATCCCAGTTAGTCATGGTATATAACTTTTTTTAAGTGTCACTTTGGTTTGCTGGCATTTGAAGATTTTGCATTAATGTTCATAAGAAACATTGGTCTGTGGGTTTCTTTGTTGTTGTGATTTCTTTGGTTTAGTATTATGGTAATACTGGTCAAATAAAATAAAATGGGAAGTGTTTTCTCATCTTTTTTTTTTGGAAGAGTTTGTGGAGATCTACTCAGATTTCTGTTTCTTTTAGAATCAATTTTGCATCTTTTCAGAAATTTGTCCATTTCGTCTAGGTTATCAAATTTTTTTTAGCTTACAATTGTTCAAATCATTCTCTTATAATCTTTAAAAATAAAAGTTCTATAAGTTTGGCAGTGAAGTCCCTTTTTCACTCCTGATTTTAATAACTTGAATCTTCTATTTTTCTCATGGTCACTCTAGCTAAAGGTTTGCCAGTGTTGACTTTTTCTTTTTTTTTTTTTTTTTCCAAGACAGAGTTTCATTGTATCACCCAGGCTGGAGTGCAGTGGTGCAATCTTGGCTCACTGCAACCTCCGCCTCCCTGGTTCAAGCGATTCTCCTGCTTTAGCCTTCCCAATAGCTGGGATTACAGGCATGTGCCACCACGCCCAGCTAATTTTTGTATTTTAGTAGAGATGGGGTTTCACCATGTTGGCCAGGTTGATCTTGAACTCCTGGCCTCAAGTGATCCACCCACTTTTGCCTGCCAAAGTGTTGGGATTACAGGCATGAGCCACCACACCCAGCCAACGTTGGCTTTTTCAAAAAAGCAAATATGATTTTGTTTATTTTTAAAGTTGTTTTTTGTATTATCTATTTTACTTGTTTCTGCTTGCATCTTTATTATTTCCTTCCTTCTGCTTGCTTTGGTTTTAGTTTACTCTTTTTTATATATATTTTTTTTGGTTTCCTATGGTAGAAGACTGTTATTGATTTAAGAACTTTTCTTTATAACACAGGCATTTACAACTGTAAATTTTCCTCTAAGGACTACTTTAGCAGCATTTGTAAATTTTGGTGATGTTTTGTTTTTGTTTTCATTCATCTCAGAATATTTGTAATTTGCCTGAGATTTCTTCTTTGACCCTTCTTTTACAAGGATGTTGTTTAATTTCTACATATTTGTGAATTTCCCAAATTTATTTTGGTAGGTGGTTTCTAATTTCATTCCATCATGGTTGAGAAACACACTTTGTGTGATTTTAATCATTTTATATTTATTGAGGCTTGATTATGACCTAACATGTGGTTTATAACAGAGAATGTTCCATGCACATTTAAGTAGAATGTGTATTCTGCCGTTGTTGGGCAATATTCTATATATTTCTGTTAGATATAGTTGGTTTACAGTATTGTTCAAGCATCTGTTTCCTGGCTGATATTTTGCCTAGTTTTTCTACCCATTACTGAAAGTGAGGTATTAAAGTCATAAATTGTTTTGTTGAATTGTTCATTTCTCCATTCAATACTGGTTTTTTTTTTTGCTTCATGTATTTGAGGTGCTTTCATTAGTGCATACATGTTTTTAATTGCTTTGTCTTCCAGATGGCTTGCCTGTTTATCATTACAATATGCCCATTTTTGTCTCTGGTTTCACTTTTTCTTTTACAGTCTATTTTATTTATTTTTTTGGGTTATGATTTCTTTGGACTGGTATTATGGTAATACTGGTCAAATAAACTGGGAAGTGTTTCTCATCTTTTTTTTGGAAGAGTGTGTGAATGATTTATGTTGATATAGCTACTTGAGTTCTCTTTTGTGTACTATTTGCATGATATACACTGTTTCATCCTTTAATTTCAATTTATATGTCTTTGAATCTAATGTGTGTCTCTTGTAGATAGTATATAATTAGATCATTTTTGCTTTTATTTGTTTTGTCAGTCTCTGTCCTTTGAATGAAGTGTTTCATCCATTTGCATTTAATGCTTTTACTGGAAAGGTTGGATTTATGTTCACCATGTTGGTATTGGTTTGTGTTTCATGTCTTTTTTGTTCCTCGATTCCTCCATTGCTGCCTTATTTTTTAAAAATAGACATTTTCTAGTATATCACTTCAATTTCCTTATTGCCTCTTTTACTATATTTTAAAAGATATTTTGTTATTAGTTGCCCTAGAGCTTATATTTAATAATTATAACTTTCAAATACCCAGTTTGGATTAATACAAACTTCATTTCAAAATTGTACAAAAATTTTGTTTCACTAGGCCAGGCGACATGGCTCACACCTATAATCCCAGCACTTTGGGAGGATGAGGCGGGCAGATCACAAGGTCGGGAGATCGAGACCATCCTGGGTAACACAGTGAAACTCCCTCTCTACTAAAAATACAAAAAATTGGCCAGGTGTGGTGGCACGCGCCTGTACTCCCAGCTACTTGGGAGGCTGAGGCAGGAAAATCGCTTGGACCTGGTAGGCAGAGGTTGCAGTGAGCTGAGATCTCACCACTGCACTCCAGCCTGGGTGACAGAGTGAGACTCCAACTCAAAAAAAAAAAAAAAAAAAATTTGTTTCACTATAGCTCCATTTCCTGACACTTTTTTTGTGCTATTATTGTCATAAAATTATAAAAATACATTATCAAGCTTGAGTATTTAGAAATATCTTAAAGCTTTAGTTTCCTCACCGGGAAAAATGGAGAGATAATGACAGTTACGATCTGCAAGTGCTATTGTTAATACTAAATGACACAATCAATGTGATCCTATCATAGCATAAGTGCTGGTCCTAGTAAGGACTCAAAAAATGTTTTATAAAGTTGATGAAGAGGGCAGATAATTAACTGGCCACTCTAATACCCTAAGGAAAGGAAAATTTTTACCTAACAGGGAGTTCTTTTTTTTTTTTTTTCTCCATTCTTAAATAGCCTCGTGTTAACAATCTTCTTCATATCCTTGTCTGGGATTTTCTACATGTTGATTCCAGACTAATATCCTGGCACCCTATAAATGAAGTTTTTCCGCCCCTTCTACTTGGAAATTATTTATTTGGCTTCTCTAAACCTCTTATTTTAAACACTAGTTATGCAGTTAGTGTTTATGAGCTCTTTTGCATGGATGTTATACAGTCTTCTTCTCAAAAATGCCTTTGCAATGGATGTTATCTTTGGCCTTCTTCTGATCATTTTTTCCCTATATTAATCACAATTTTTATTGTTTTCTATAAATATGAAGCCTAAAATCAGTCCTATTAAAATATGAATTAAATTATGAATTAATTATAGATTAAATTTAATTAAAAGTTGCTTATAGGATTTTATGGCCCTCCAACTCCATTTGAAATTATATATAATAGGCAGTTAATAGAGCATGCTTCAAAGCAACCTTTGCAATTCCATGTGCTTATTCGTTCTCTGTACCTACTTTATCCCATCAATTAAAAACACACCTCGGTGGTCTTTACAATTTGGCATGATTTTGCAGTGGCTGGTACCGGTTGTTCCTTTCCATGTTTAGTGCTTCCTTCAGGCGCTCTTTTAGGGCAGGCCTGGTGCTGACAAAATCTCTCAGCATTTGCTTGTCTGTATTTACAAGAAAAAAAACAAACAACCAATCAAAAAGTGGGTGAAGGACATGAACAGACACTTCTCAAAAGAAGATATTTATGCAGCCAAAAAACACATGAAAAAATGCTCACCATCAACTGGCCATCAGAGAAATGCAAATCAAAACCACAATGAGATACCATCTCACACCAGTTAGAATGGCAATCATTAAAAAGTCAGGAAACAACAGGTGCTGGAGAGGATGTGGAGAAATAGGAATACTTTTACACTGTTGGTGAGACTGTAAACTAGTTCAACCCTTGTGGAAGTCAGTGTGGCGATTCCTCAGGGATCTAGAACTAGAAATACCATTTGACCCAGCCATCCCATTACTGGGTATATACCCAAAGGACTATAAATCATGCTGCTATAAAGACACATGCACACGTATGTTTATTGTGGCACTATTCACAATAGCAAAGACTTGGAACCAACCCAAATGTCCAACAATGATAGACTGGATTAAGAAAATGTGGCACATATACACCATGGAATCCTATGCAGCCATAAAAAATGATGAGTTCATGTCCTTTGTAGGGACATGGATGAAATTGGAAATCATCATTCTCAGTAAACTATCGCAAGAACAAAAAACCAAACACCACATATTCTCACTCATAGGTAGGAATTGAACAATGAGAACACATGGACACAGGAAGGGGAACATCACACTCTGGGGACTGTTGTGGGGAGGGGGGAGGGATGGCATTGGGAGATATACCTAATGCTAAATGACGAGTTAATGGGTGCAGCACACCAGCATGGCACATGTATACATATGTAACTAACTGGCACATTGTGCACATGTACCGTAAAACTTAAAGTATAATAATAATAATAAAAACAAGCAAGAAGTCCTCAGTGAACATTGAAGATGTGTTGTGAGAATCCTGTGAGAAAGCCATATATACTACACATTCATATTAAAATAAGAGAGTACATTGAGGTGTAAAATTTATTAGTCACCTCTCTTCTTCTGTAGACATAACTCATATTAATCCTGTTTGAAAGTTATTACTTTTATTTTTTGTGGTGTTTTGGACCAAAAAATACTTCCCCCATTTTCTTTTTTAGACATGCAAGTCTTTACTGAAAAGCTCCTAATGCCTTCCCCTTTACAAATAGAAAAGCTGTTTATATCCAATTATGTATCAGGAGTCAAAAGCTCAGAGTTTCACATACAAGTGGAACTCTACATCCTGCCCTCCACTTATACCCTCTCTACGACATCTCGTCCATGGTTTATAGGAATCCTGGAATCGTAGAAATTCAACCACTATTGATGGTTTTCCTCACCTCATCCTCAAGTCTCAGAGACAACAATGGTGCCATGTGTTCATTATCTGAAAGTTGATATATCTGACAATCATGCATACTCAGAGAACAGTGAAGAAATCCTGCACTTTAGCTTCACCAGGTAGTGAATTTGTTCACCACATCTTAAAATCATTGAGAGAAGGGACCATAGTTGAGTCCCCAGAGGCTAGATAACTGTCTGACCTCCTCCAAATTTAAGAAATTATTGATAATGAAACCAAGAACAAAGAGGTGTAAATAAAAAACATAAAACCCACCAGACAAAAACAAATCTACCACAATTAGAATTGGCTAAGAATAAGGGAAGGAATCTGACAGACCATCTTTTGTAAGATTGTAAGACAACCTTTTAGTTACCCTTGCTTAATAAAATAGAGGCAGTGTGCTATAAAGAAAAGAGCACAGTCTTCCTTTGAAAAATGTCTTTAGATTTCAACCTCACCATTGTCTAGCTGAACATGAACATAGTAATACAGTCCATAAGGGCTAGAAGTTATTATTAATAAAAAGGAATAATGATAATCTCTAGGAAAAGCCCCAGTAGTTTTTGATTTTTAAAATCTTACATGACAGAATTCTAAATTTATTTCTTCAGTGGAGTTTCCTAAAATCATTGTATGTCATAATATACCACTGCTTTTATAAGATGGGCATTTCAAGTGAATACAGAACTTGAAAGCTAGCAGACAGTACATAGTAGCCAACATGATAGTAAGCACTAGATCAAACTAAAGCAATTATAAATATATACATATCTGTGAGATAAGACTCCTGATATATTCAGCTTCTGGAATACCTCATTAGTGAAATCTAGATCCATCATGTTCTAAAACTGACAAGTGCTCTAGAGGCCATCTATTTCATGAGGTGCACCACACCAACAGAAACAAATTTGGGCAGAGCAACACCATATACCTGATGCTGTTTTTCTGGTTTGCTTACTCTGGGCAGTATAACTTTGAACAGCCATTGGAAAGTGGATAAATATTTGTAACTTTTCTTTTTTATTTCTTTTCTGACTTTTTTTTTTTTTAGTGTCAGGGTCTTGCTCTGGAGTGGACTTTAACGGTAGCAAGAGAAATCCTACATTGTGTGATGTGATGGATGATAGACAATGGATACTTGGAAAGGCGAAGGGATGAAAGGAGGGTGGATGATGAGAGATTACTTAATGGATACAATGTACACTATTTGGGTGATGGATACAGTAAAAGCTCTAACTTCACCACTACATAATCTACCCATGTAAGAAAATTGCACTTGTACCCTATAAATTTCTACAAATAATTTTTAAAAAGGAAATCCTACATTATGTGATGAAGCCTAATTGTAAACAAGTATAATTAATAATCTTGGAGCTCTAATAAAATTTGTATTTCATCTTATAAAGAGACACAATTTTCTCAAACTTTGAATCTGGTTTTGTTTGAATACCTGTTCCCTTTGTTCTCCTGATTCACTTTTTCATTCTATAGTGTTCTTGTCCCACTGCCTTCTGTAGTTCGATGTCATATTTGTGTACCTGTCTTCTAATTCTCACCCTCTATTAATAGGCTTGCATCAAGTACAGCTTTTATCACTCAATAGTTAGAGATCATTGACTTTTCCTCTCGGGTTGCTAGAATTCTTGCTATTTTTATGCATTATCAAAGTGAATTCATTCTCTTATGCAAACTGCATACTGACACTTAAAATTTCTGCCCCAAAGTATTTCATGCCACTTCTATTTGTATTTCTTGGTGAATGCCAGTCACATGGTCACACCTCATCTAAAGGAGCAAGAAAGTAGAAAGCACGCCCTAGAGTCTTTCCATATTTGGTACTCATATAACAATGATTTCATGATGGTCAACGATATTGGCTTTTTGTAGTGCGTGGTTGTGTCTTGACTTCTCTGTTTAGTTGCTGTGGATAGTTGAAAGCTTTGCTTAGAAAACTTTCAACTCATCCGGCCTGGTGCGGTGGCTCACGCCTGTAATCCCAGTACTTTGGGAGGCCGAGGCGGGCAGATCATGAGGTTAGGAGATCGAGACCATCCTGGCTAACATGATGAAACCCTGTCTCTACTAAAAATACAAAAAATTAGCCGGGCGTGGTGGCGGGCGCCTGTAGTCCCAGCTACTCGGGAGGCTGAGGCGGGAGAATGGCGTGAACCCGGGAGGCAGAGCTTGCAGTGAGCAGAAATTGTGCCACTGCACTCCAGCCTGGGCGACAGAGCGAGACTCCATCTCAAAAAAACAAAAACAAAAACAGAAAGATCCACTCATCCTTGAATGTAGTGTGCAAGCCAGCCTATCATTCGCTTGTTTCCCTGCCAGACACAGCCACAGCATGTTATTTGAAGATGTACATCACTGCTTCCTTAAGCCATTGTTTCAGCAAAGTACTGCTCTCCTTTAACTCACTGCTCAAACAACAGGTGGCTATTTAGCTCTAATCCTTTATAAGGCCACTTCAGTTAAGAGGTGTGTGAGTTATGTCATGATAAATTTTCTTTCAAGTTCCCGTCTTGTCATTGTTGCTGACTTAATTACTAATATTGGGTGATCTTGAATATGTTGTTTACTGTCACTAGGCTTTAGATGTCTTATCTGCTATGAAAGTTGTAATTTTTTTTCTGTATACGGTTCTAACTCTTCGTTGTGCCACTTCACTCCATGGCCCCCACTAGTCTCGCCATAGAAATCATGAGCACTTTCCCTCAGGAAGAAAGATCAATATTCAGAGAGATTCTCTTCACCATATTGCCAGGAGCACATATGCCTCATAACAATAACAGATTAGAAAATATAATATGAAATGAGTGTAACCTTAATTAAAATGCCTTCCTGTTGCTAATTCTATAGTCAAAATGCAAAATATTTTTTTCCTTTGTGTCTTTTTCACCTTTATTTTTTAAATTTATTTTTTATTATTATACTTTAAGTTTTAGGGTACATGTGCACAATGTACAGGTTAGTTACATATGTATACATGTGCCTTGCTGGTGCGCTGCACCCACTAACTCATCATCTAGCATTAGGTATATCTCCCAATGCCATCCCTCCAGCCTCCCCCCACCCCAAACAGTCCCCAGAGTGTGATTTTCCCCTTCCTGTGTCCATGTGTTCTCATTGTTCAATTCCCACCTATGAGTGAGAATATGCGGTGTTTGGTTTTTTGTTCTTGCGATAGTTTATTGAGAATGATGATTTCCAATTTCATCCATGTCCCTACAAAGGACGTGAACTCATCATTTTTTATGGCTGCATAGTATCCCGTGGTGTATATGTGCCACATTTTCTTAATCCAGTCTATCATTGTTGGACATTTGGGTTGGTTCCAAGTCTTTGCTATTGTGAATAGTGCTGCAATAAACATACATGTGCATGTGTCTTTAAAGCAGCATGATTTATAGTCCTTTGGGTATATACCCAGTAATGGGATGGCTGGGTCAAATGGTATTTCTAGTTCTAGATCCCTGAGGAATCACCACACTGACTTCCACAAGGGTTGAACTAGTTTACAGTCTCACCAACAGTGTAAAAGTATTCCTATTTCTCCACATCCTCTCCAGCACCTGTTGTTTCCTGACTTTTTAATGATTGCCATTCTAACTGGTGTGAGATGGTATCTCATTGTGGTTTTGATTTGCATTTCTCTGATGGCCAGTGATGGTGAGCATTTTTTCATGTGTTTTTCGGCTGCATAAATGTCTTCTTTTGAGAATTGTCTGTTCATGTCCTTTGGCCACTTTTTGATGGGGTTGTTTTTTTTTTTCTTGTAAATTTGTTTGAGTTCATTCTAGATTCTGGATATTAGCCCTTTGTCAGATGAGTAAGTTGCGAAAATTTTCTCCCATTTTGTAGGTTGCCTGTTCACTCTGATGGTAGTTTATTTTGCTGTGTAGAAGCTCTTTAGTTTAATTAGATCCCATTTGTCAATTTTGTCTTTTGTTGCCATTGCTTTTGGTGTTTCAGACATGAAGTCCTTGCCCATACCTATGTCCTGAATGGTAATGCCTAGGTTTTCTTCTTGGGTTTTTATGGTTTTAGGTCTAACGTTTAAGTCTTTAATCCATCTTGAATTGATTTTTGTATAAGGTGTAAGGAAGGGATCTAGTTTCAGCTTTCTCCATATGGCTAGCCAGTTTTCCCAGCACCATTTATTAAATAGGGAATCCTTTCCCCATTGCTTGTTTTTCTCAGGTTTGTCAAAGATCAGATAGTTGTAGATATGCTGCGTTATTTCTGAGGGCTCTGTTCTGTTCCATTGATCTATATCTCTATTTTGGTACCAGTACCATGCTGTTTTGGTTACTGTAGCCTTGTAGTATAGTTTGAAGTCAGGTAGTGTGATGCCTCCAGCTTTGTTCTTTTGGCTTAGGATTGACTTGGTGATGCAGGCTCTTTTTTGGTTCCATATGAACTTTAAAGTAGTTTTTTCCAATTCTGTGATGAAAGTCATTGGTAGCTTGATGGGGATGGCATTGAATCTGTAAATTACCTTGGGCAGTATGGCCATTTTCACGATATTGATTCTTCCTACCCATGAGCATGGAATGTTCTTCCATTTGTTTGTATCCTCTTTTATTTCATTGAGCAGTGGTTTGTAGTTCTCCTTGAAGAGGTCCTTCATGTCCCTTGTAAGTTGGATTCCTAAGTATTTTATTCTCTTTGAAGCAATTGTGAATGGGAGTTCACTCATGATTTGGCTCTCTGTTTGTCTGTTGTTTGTGTATAAGAATGCTTGTGATTTTCGTACATTGATTTTGTATCCTGAGACTGCTGAAGTTGCTTATCAGCTTAAGGAGATTTTGGCCTGAGACAATGGGGTTTTCTAGATATACAATCATGTCGTCTGCAAACAGGGACAATTTGACTTCCTCTTTTCCTTATTGAATACCCTTTATTTCTTTCTCCTGCCTAATTGCCCTGGCCAGAACTTCCAACACTATGTTGAATAGGAGTGGTGAGAGAGGGCATCCCTGTCTTGTGCCAGTTTTCAAAGGGAATGCTTCCAGTTTTTGCCCATTCGGTATGATATTGGCTGTGGGTTTGTCATAGATAGCTCTTATTATTTTGAAGTACGTCCCATTAATACCTAATTTATTGAGAGTTTTTAGCATGAAGGGTTGTTGAATTTTGTCAAAGGCCTTTTCTGCATCTATTGAGATAATCATGTGGTTTTTGTCTTTGGTTCTGTTTATATGCTGGATTACATTTATTGATTTGCATATAGTGAACCAGCCTTGCATCCCAGGGATGAAGCCCACTTGATCATGGTGGATAAGCTTTTTGATGTGCTGCTGGATTCATTTTGCCAGTATTTTATTGAGGATTTTTGCATCAATGTTCATCAAGGATATTTGTCTTTTTTGGTTGTGTCTCTGCCCGGCTTTGGTATCAGGATGATGCTGGTCTCATAAAATGAGTTAGGGAGGATTCCCTCTTTTTCTATTGATTGGAATAGTTTCAGAAGGAATGATTCCAGTTCCTCCTTGTACCTATGGTAGAATTCGGCTGTGAATCCATCTGGTCCTGGACTCTTTTTGGTTGGTAAGCTATTGATTATTGCCACAATTTCAGATCCTATTATTGGGCTATTCAGAGATTCAACTTCTTCCTGGTTTAGTCTTGGGAGGGTGTATGTGTCAAGGAATTTATCCATTTATTCTTGATTTTCTAGTTTATTTGCATAGAGGTGTTTATAGTATTCTCTGATGGTAGTTTGTATTTCTGTGGGATCGGTGGTGATATCCCCTTTATCATTTTTTATTGCATCTATTTGATTCTTCTTTTTTTCTTTATTAGTCTTGCTAGCGGTCTATCAATTTTGTTGATCCTTTCAAAAAACCAGCTCCTGGATTCATTAATTTTTGAAGGGTTTTTTGTGTCTCTATTTCCTTCAGTTCTGCTCTGATTTTAGTTATTTCTTGCCTTCTGCTAGCTTTTGAATGTGTTTTGCTCTTGCTTTTCTAGTTCTTTGAATTGTGATGTTAGGGTGTCAATTTTGGATCTTTCCTGCTTTCTCTTGTGGGCATTTAGTGCTATAAATTTCCCTCTACACACTGCTTTGAATGTGTCCCAGAGTTTCTGGTATGTTGTGTCTTTGTTCTCATTGGTTTCAAAGAACATCTTTATTTCTGCCTTCATTTCGTTATGTACCCAGTAGTCATTCAGGAGCAGGTTGTTCAGTTTCTATGTAGTTGATCAGTTTTGAGTGAGATTCTTAATCCTGAGTTCTAGTTTGATTGCACTGTGGTCTGAGAGATAGTTTGTTATAATTTCTGTTCTTTTACATTTGCTGAGGAGAGCTTTACTTCCAAGTATGTGGTTAATTTTGGAATAGGTGTGGTGTGGTGCTGAAAAAAATGTATATTCTGTTGATTTGGGGTGGAGAGTTCTGTAGATGTCTATTAGGTCCACTTGGTGCAGGGCTGAGTTCAATTCCTGGGTATTCTTGTTGACTTTCTGTCTCGTTGATCTGTGTAATGTTGACAGTGGGGTGTTAAAGTCTCCCATTATGATTGTGTGGGAGTCTAAGTCTCTTTGTAGGTCTCTAAGGACTTGCTTTATGAATCTGGGTGCTCCTGTATTGGGTGCATATATATTTAGGATAGTTAGCTCTTCTTGTTGAATTGATCCCTTTACCATTATGTAATGGCCTTCTTTGTCTCTTTTGATCTTTGTTGGTTTAAAGTCTATTTTATCCGAGACTAGGATTGCAACCCCTGCCTTTTTTTGTTTTCCATTTGCTTGATAGATCTTCCTCCATCCTTTTATTTTAGCCTATGTGTGTCTCTGCACGTGAGATGTGTCTCCTGAATACAGCACACTGATGGGTCTTGACTCTTTATCCAATTTGCCAGTCTGTGTCTTTTAATTGGAGCATTTAGTCCATTTACATTTAAAGTTAATATTGTTATGTGTGAATTTAATCCTGTCACTATGATGTTAGCTGGTGATTTTGCTCGTTAGTTGATGCAGTTTCTTCCTAGTCTTGATGGTCTTTACATTTTGGCATGATTTTGCAGTGGCTGGTACCGGTGGTTCCTTTCCATGTTTAGCTCTTCCTTCAGGAGCTCTTTTAGGGCAGGCCTGGTGGTGACAAAATCTCTCAGCATTTGCTTATCTGTAAAGTATTTTATTTCTCCTTCACTTATGAAGCTTAGTTTGGCTGGATATGAAATTCTGGGTTGAAAATTCTTTCCTTTAAGAATGTTGAATATTGGCCCCCACTCTCTTCTGGCTTGTAGGGTTTCTGCCGAGAGATCCGCTGTTAGTCTGATGGGCTTCCCTTTGAGGGTAACCCGACCTTTCTCTCTGGCTGTCCTTAACATTTTTTCCTTCATTTCAACTTTGGTGAATCTGACAATTATGTGTCTTGGAGTTGCTCTTCTTGAGTAATATCTTTGTGGCGTTCTCTGTATTTCCTGAATCTGAACGTTGGCCTGTCTTGATAGGTTGGGGAAGTTCTCCTGGATAATATCCTGCAGAGTGTTTTCCAACTTGGTTCCATTCTCCCCGTCACTTTCAGGTACACCAATCAGACGTAGATTTGGTCTTTTCACATAGTCCCATATTTCTTGGAGGCTTTGCTCATTTCTTTTTATTCTTTTTTCTCTAAACTTCCTTCTCGCTTCATTTCATTCATTTCATCTTCCACCACTGATACCCTTTCTTCCAGTTGGTTGCATCAGCTCCTGAGGCTTCTGCATTCTTCACGTAGTTCTCGAGCCTTGGTTTTCAGCTCCATCAGCTCCTTTAAGCACTTCTCTGTATTGGTTATTCTAGTTATACATTCTTCTAAATTTTTTTCAAAGTTTTCAACTTCTTTGCCTTTGGTTTGAATGTCCTCCCATAGCTCGGAGTAATTTGATCGTCTGAAGTCTTCTTCTCTCAGCTCGTCAAAGTCATTCTCCATCCAGCTTTGTTCCGTTGCTGGTGAGGAGCTGTGTTCCTTTGGAGGAGGAGAGGCGCTCTGCTTTTTAAAGTTTCCAGTTTTTCTGCTTTGTTTTTTCCCCATCTTGGTGGTTTTATCTACTTTTGGTCTTTGATGATGGTGATGTACAGATGGGTTTTTGGTGTGGATGTCCTTTCTGTTTGTTAGTTTTCCTTCTAACAGACAGGACCTTCAGCTGCAGGTCTGTTGGAGTACCCGGCCGTGTGAGGTGTCAGTCTGCCCCTACTGGGGGGTGCCTCCCAGTTAGGCTGCTCGGGGGTCAGGGGTCAGGGACCCACTTGAGGAGGCAGTCTGCCCGTTCTCAGATCTCCAGCTGCGTGCTGGGAGAACCACTGCTCTCTTCAAAGCTCGGATGGAAATGCAGAAATCACCCGTCTTCTGCGTCGCTCACACTGAGAACTGTAGACCGGAGCTGTTCCTATTCGGCCATCTTGGCTCTTCCCTCCTTTTTGCAAAATGCAAAATTAATAGGATTTTTTTTGGTTCACTTTGAATGATCTTTGGACTCTTTCCAAACTATTTCTTCTTCTTCTTCTTTTTTGGTTGGGGTGGAGGGGACACACTGATGATGATGAATGAGATTAGACTTGCTAAAGTAGAAATATTTACATTTCCTAAGAAGCTTCGTGTTTCCCTCAATATTGGATGTGACATATTCTCCCTGTAATATATTCAGGTGGAATTGAATTCAGTCTTAGAGTGTATTTATTTTTACATTCATTACACAAGCTTTAAATGATTTTGGCATCTAAATGAGCGCATTTTTATCTCACTAAATTGGAAAAAAAAGAATTCCTAAAAACTGTTACCTCTTCTGCTTGATTTGAAATTGTACCTTTCAGAAGATCAGTTGATCTTAAGTTCATATTATCAGTGGACTGTCCCAGAAATAGCTAGTTGAATTTTGCTGGGAATCCATCTCCTAGTTGACTTACTTACTAATAACTATTTTTATATGAGTTTAAATGTTTATAGAAATTGAAGGTTTTTTTTAATGGAACAAAGATTATACAAAAGTGAAAACACTTTAAATTATAATATACTTAAATATATTATTTATATCATATTTATTAATGTTTAAAATGCTTTGACATTTTGATGATTTTTCTAAAAAAGTCTAAGTGAACAATATTTATATCCATATATTCATGTTTAGACAAGAAATACTTGGAGGTTGGCTATCTTTTAGTCTGAAATTTTCTGTGCTTATTTTTTTAGGAATCAATTCAAAATGTTCATTATTTCAGATGTGGCAATTCTGTAACAGTTATTTTTAAAATGATTCCAGCTGGTTTATGTCAGAGTTCTCAGTATCAATTTTCTCTGTTCTTTTAGGAGTAGTTTTGAGCTCTTTTAGTTACCTATTGCTGTATTATAAACCACTCCAAAACTTAGAAACTTAAAATAACTGTTTTATTACTCATGATTCTGTGGGTGAGGAATTCAGGCAGTGCTCAGAGGGGACGGCTTGTCTCTGTTTCACCTGGTATTGGCTGAAAAAGTTCAACTGGGGCCAAGGGATCCAAGATGGTCTACTGGTGGTGAATGCTGGTAGGGTCTTTTGGTCCTCCTCCATGTGTCTTGGCTCTCTTCACATGGTTGCTCATTATTCAGTTGTCTTGCCTGTGTTTCTTTATGTAAAAGATAAAATTCTGCAGAAACTAAGAAAAATATTGCAAGACCTCTTAGAAAAATATTGCAAGACCTCTTAAGACGTAGACCCATAACTGCATAGGGTCACTTCCACCACATTCTACTGGTCAAGCAAGTCGCAAGGATATCCTAGATTGAAGGAAGGTAGAAACAGACTGTACCCCTTGCTGGGATGGGTGGCATGGTCCTATTGCAAAGGCACACATGGGAAAGGAGGTATCGTTGTAGGCATTTTGGAAAACAATATACCACAAACGGAAATGAATAAATTCCATGTCTAAGGCTACAACTTTATGTTCTTCTGCCCAAATTATAACCTAACAGTTTACTGTATGAAAATCTCTATCTTTGTATTTCTGTTTGGAAGCTGTTGAATGTCTCGATAAATATAATTGGGGAGTTCAACATCCTGTGTTTCAAATCTTTGGTAGTTTGATGTGGTTTGGAGTATGCCTCACAGAACGAATGAGTGTGGGAACACTATCAGCAGTGTCAGAGCATTCATTCTTCATACATGTCTTGAGGACTCACAATGGTCAAGTATAGTCCCAGGCACTGGATATACACATAAAGATAAATGAGAACTGGTTGTTATTCTATAGTATTTGACCTATTGGTCACAACTCTTCACTTCCTTGTCATGATAATATGCACTCACAGCCTCCTCTGGGGCTGCACCCTGATGTTGTGTTTGTTCATATGATTTGCTTTGCCAAAACAATGTTAGCAGATGTGATGAAAGCAGTTGTACAAAATGTGCTTGTGCAGTGCAGGTTGATTTATTGATTGTTCCTCCGTCACCATAAGTAGAACTGTGCCCCAGAAGTAATACACATAGAGATCTAAGCAAGGACTCATGCCCACTCTGACCCACAGCTTGATGAAGAATAGGCCAAAAAGGCAGCCTAGATCAGGCAACTATTGGGTTATTCTTCTACACTCAAAAGCTACCTGAAACCAGTCATGGTGATCCATGTCTGCAGTTCTAGCTACTCCAGAGGCCAAGGCAGGAGCATCAGTTTGCTCAGGATGTGAAGAATATAATGTCCCATAATTGTCCCCATGAGTAACCACTGCAGTCCAGCCTAGGTGCATAGAGAGGCTGTCACTTAAAAAACAAAAAACCTTCCTGAAACAATATTCTGTCTTGTAAGGAAGAATGACATATAAACTGTTAATTGTACCGTAATACCATATGTGCAGCAATAAAGATCTTTATAAAGGGGCATCATTTTGCCTGGGAGTAGGTATATGTGGTTTTTAGTAGGGCAATAAAGAAGATGTCTTAGAAGGTGACACAAAGATGAGTCTTAAAGAATAAATGAAAGGATATCTAAGACTTTACAAAGGAGGAGGAAATATTTTAAGCCCAACTCAGTGTGAGCAAAGGCATAAGGATAAGTTCCAACATGGTGTGAAGAAAATTATATAAGCAGTTTATTGTTCTTTGAAATGTAATAAGTGAGAGAGTCCTGCTTTACCAAGAGACAGAAACCTTTAATTTGACTTTACAATGGATTCTAGTTCCAAGAGATTTCTAGGCTGATAATAACTAGGATTGACATAAACTTTGTTGCTCTGGCTAAATATTTTAGAGTGCACGCTCTACTAAAATTAATATGAGCACAGACAGTTCCATTGTTTCTGCCTTTACAAATAATGAAATTACACTTCAGTCAAAGATTTCAGTTGCACAGCCGAAAAAGGGCACAGACAATAATTGGAGACATGATTTAAAAAAGGAAAATTGTTAATTGAAAATTAACAAGAAGTAATATTATACTGCATGGTATTTCATATAAAAATTAGAGGTCGTTCTCCTTTCAAATGGTAGCTGTACATCTAAAATAAGTTTATAAATTAAACTATGTTGTATATAATTATAAAGATGTTCCAACAGGAAATTATTTTTAGAAATATGGATGTTTCATAAGTATAATTTTCATATTTTACGTAAAGTTAAAATTCAGTCAGTGACTCCTATTTTACTCTGAATTTTAGGACTTAAAGCGTCTTTCAATGTCTTTTATTCTTAATTCAGACCTTATTTAGTTTTCTGGTTATGACCTTTGCTAGCTGTGAGAGCTTACATAAATTTCCAAACCTCTCTGAACCTCAATATCTTCATCAGTAAAATGAAGAAATCATTGACTGTATATAAAGCTCTCACGGTAATGAAATGAGATCTTACAGAGACAAGTGCCCAGCTCACAATGTGACACATGGCAAATACCCAGTAAATATTAGCTACTTACTATTATTTTCAGAATGACAGTAACAACATCACTAATAATTACTATTGGTACTTAGTCTCATAGTTGAAGAAACAAGAGCCTTGGAGAACTTAAGAATTTGGGCAATGATGTCTGCTTAGTAGCTTCAGAACCTGAAAAACATTTTGGTCAGTGAGTTTCACACTGGTGCCTTTCTCTGCGTAAGGCTGCTCCTCTTACTGAGTTTTTAAGAAGTTCATAATGGAAGTGAGAAGTGATTCTGGAAACCACTGTACCAGTGAAGCTGCCTTGAAACAGAA
Organism: Homo sapiens; assembly: GCF_000001405.40. Lineage (NCBI taxonomy): Eukaryota > Metazoa > Chordata > Mammalia > Primates > Hominidae > Homo > Homo sapiens. The sequence continues at coordinate 12,910 of NT_187628.1, read as the reverse complement.
AGGACATGAATTACTAAATGTAAACATAAAAAAGGTGGGCGATTGTCCTCAAATATGTGTGTCATCAAATGCAAACATTTTAATTTGAATAATTGCATTAAGATAAGCTTTTGTTTCTGGGAATTCTCCATTTGTGATAAGCAACTTTGCTTGTAGTTTCAAAGCTTGTAGTCAAATTCCAACAGAGGAGGTAGAAAGTTTTTATGTGAAACTATAAGACCATTAACTAAAGTTAAACAAAAAGGCTGCTATTTCGTTTAGAGTGTATAACTGATGGCACTTTCAATTTTATCCAAATGACTGCACACAGCCCTACTACAATTTCATTATGAAGGTAAAATTAGAAAAGCTAAACATTAAATCTTCTAAGAAAATATAATTTGATTTAATGTCATTAAAAGCCAGTGCAAAATAGAGGAGAATATGAAGCTGACTTAACTGCTTCTGTGCTGAATAGAACAACAGCCCTTATACCATTCCCCTGCATGCTCCCAGCTATACCTGTAGAAGCTCAGTTTTACTCATTAGCTCAGTCATTTCATGGTCTACCATTTGAGGAACACACATGTATTCTATTAGCAGTAATGAATTAATGGGGGATGTGTGGTAATATGATAGCAAAATTCAGTAAAAATTCTATTTGAACTTCATTCTGTGGGATACGAACATAACCCACAAAGGAATACTCTGATCTGCAGTGAAGAATAATTTGCCTACTGCTCTGGTTTGCAATTAATGAAAAGTCCTCAGGAAATCCCAATTTCTGATTAAAGAGAGTTGATTATGATTAATGTATCCAAATTAACTGCTAAAAAAGAAGCCACCTCACAATGATCTACATTGTTCCTCCAATTTTGAATTCCTAAGGCTATTCCTATCTGTTTCCTTTTCTCTAACCCTTAAAGATGTATATTTTGTTTTTAACTTTTGGGTTTTGGTTAGCCAGACAATATGTGTCATTTGTTTCCATATGTAGAAAATATTCAAGGGCCTATGAATTCTCTTTTCTCCCCTCTCTAACCTTCTGTAAAAATAGTATCATTGGTGTTTGCACCAAGTTGCCATAAAACCAGGATGTCAACCTCGAATGCACCTGATTCATGCTTACAAGCACAGCCTCACTCCAGAGTCTTTACTCTTAGCTGTTGTCCTGTGCTGTTTCCCATGGCACTTGGGTGAAGTTTGAGGAGAACCAAAGACATATTTTCAGGCAAATAGGGCATGGAAGGCTACTTATTTCATTTTTCAATTTGGTTTCCTTAGGTAAGTAAGTAAATACATTCTTGCAGACCAAATTTTTGTAGCATTGTACATTTTTGCATTTTTCAGAGTATTTACAAATGCTTTTGTGGGGAATTTGGATATCACCAGATGCCATTTTAAAGTGGAAGTCTCTCATGCATAGTACAGTCGACCTTCAGTATACGCAGGGCAGTGGTACCAGGACGTCCACAAATACCCAAACCTATGCATGGTGAAGCCTCACACTTGGCCCTGTGGAATCTGTATATATAAAAATTTGGCTTTCTGTATGCGCAGGTTTTACATCCCACGAAGGCTGTATTTTCCATCTGTGTTTGGTTGAAAAAAAATTCCATGTCTAATTGGACGCACCCAGTTAAAACCCATGTTGCTTAAGGGTAACCTGTATTTATGTCAGAAAGTTTCTCCTTCTATCAGAATCATATATGTAGTTTAAAAGCAGCCAGAAATTATTGTAATATGTGAGCTACAATAGTTAGAGTAACAGTTAGTCAAAAAATTAATGTTTAATTCAGCTAGGTTGCACAATATAATTCAGTTAGTTTACACAATACCTTTTCTCCTACAGGAATTTATTTCCATACTTCTCTTATACATATTTTGGTTTTTATTTTTTTAAGGATTTATTTTATTTTCTTTTTTCTTACTATACTTTAAGTTCTAGGGTACATGTGCACAACGTGCAGTTTGTTACACATGTATACATGTGCCATGTTGGTGTGCTGCACCCATTAACTCATCATTTACATTAGGTATTTCTCCTAATGCTATCCCTCCCCCAGCCCCCTACCCCATGACAGGCCCCGGTGTGTGTTGTTCCCCACCCTGTGTCCAAGTGTTCTCATTGTTCAATTCCCACCTGTGAGTGAGAACACATAGTGTTTGGTTTTCTGTCCTTGTGATAGTTTGCTCAGAATGATGGTTTCCAGCTTCATCCATGTCCCTGCAAAGGACATGAACTCATCCTTTTTTTATGGCTGCATAGTATTCCATGGTGTATATGTGCCACATTTTCTTAATCCAGTCTATCATTGATGGATATTTGGGTTGGTTCCAAGTCTTTGCTATTGTGAATAATGCCACGATAAACATACATGTGCATGTGTCTTTATAGCAGCATGATTTGTAATCCTTTGGGTATATATCCAGTAATGTGATGGCTGGGTCAAATGGTATTTCTGGTTCTAGGTCCTTGAGGAATCACCACACTGACTTCCACAATGGTTGAACTAGTTTACACTCCTGCCAACAGTGTAAAAGTGTTCCTATTTCTCCAAATCCTCTCCAGCACCTGTTGTTTCCTGACTTTTTAATGATCGCCATTCTAATTGGTGTGAGATGGTATCTCATGTGGTATTGATTTACATTTCTCTGATGGCCAGTGATGATGAACATTTTTTCATGTGTCTGTTGGCTGCATAAAGGTCTTCTTTTTGAGAAGTGTCTGTTCATTTCCTTTGCCCACTTTTTGATGGGGCTGTTTGATTTTTTCTTGTAAATTTGTTTCAGTTCTTTGTAGATTCTGGATATTAGCCCCTTGTCAGATGGGTAGATTGCAAAAATTTTCTCCCATTCTTTAGGTTGCCTGTTCACTCTGATGGTTAGTTTATTTTGCTGTGCAGAAGCTCTTCAGTTTAATTAGATCCCATTTGTCTATTTTGGCTTTCGTTGCCATTGCTTTTAGTGTTTTAGTCATGAAGTCCTAGCCCATGCCTATGTCCTGAATGGTAATGCCTAGGTTTTCTTCTAGGGATTTTATGTTTTTAGGTCTAATATTTGAATCTTTAATCCATCTTGAATTAATTTTTGTATAAGGTTTAAGGAAGGGATCCAGTTTCAGCTTTCTACATATGGCTATCCAGTTTTCCCAGCACCATTTATTAAATAGGGAATCCTTTCCCCATTTCTTGTTTTTGTCAGGTTTGTCAAAGATCAGATGATTGTAGACATGTGGTTTTATTTCTGAGGGCTCTGTGCTGTTCTGTTGGTCTATATCTCTGTTTTGGTACCAGTACCACACTGTTTTGGTTACTGTAGCCTTGTAGTATAGTTTGAAGTCAGGTAGTGTGATGCCTCCAGCTTTGTTCTTTTGGCTTAGGATTGACTTGGCAATGCAGGCTCTTTTTTGGTTCCATATGAACTTTAAAGTAGTTTTTTTTCCAATTCTTTGAAGAAAGACATTGGTAGCTTGATGGGGACGGCATTGAATCTATAAATTACCTTGGGCAGTATGGCCATTTTCATGATATTGATTCTTCCTATCCATGAGCATGGAATGTTCTTCCATTTGTTTGTGTCCTCTTTCATTTTGTTAAGCTGTGGTTTGTAGTTCTCCTTGAAGAGGTCCTTCACATCCTTTGTAAGTTGGATTCCTAGGTATTTTATTCCCTTTGAAGCAATTGTGAATGGGAGTTCACTCATGATTTGGCTCTCTGTTTGTCTGTTATTGGTGTATAGGAATGCTTGTGATTTTTGCACATTGATTTTGTATCCTGAGACTTTGCTAAAGTTGCTTATCAGCTGAAGGAGATTTGGGCTGAGACAATGGGGTTTTCTAAATATACAATCATGTTATCTGCAAACAGGGACAACTTGACTTCCTCTTTTCCTAACTGAATACCGTTTATTTCTTTCTCCTGCCTGATTGCCCTGGCCAGAACTTCCAATACTATGTTGAACAGGAGTGGTGAGAGAGGGCATCCCTGTCTTGTGCCAGTTTTCAAAGGGAATGCTTCCAGTTTTTGCCCATTTAGTATGCTGTTGGCTGTGGGTTTGTCATAAATAGCTCTTATTATTTTGAGATACATCCCATCAATACCTAGATTATTGAGAGTTTTTAGCATGAAGCATTGTTGAATTTTGTCAAAGGCCTTTTCACCATCTATTGAGATAATCATGTGGTTTTTGTTTTTGTTCAGTTTTTATGACAGATTACATTTATTGATTTGTGTATGTTAAACCAGCCTTGCATCACAGGGATGAAGCCAACGTGATCGTGCTGGATAAGCTTTTTGATGTGCTGCTAGATTCTGTTTGCCAGTATTTTATTGAGGATTTTTGCATCGATGTTCATCAGGGATACTGGTCTGAAATTCTCTTTTTTTGTTGTGTCTCTGCCAGGCTTTGGTATCAGGATGATGCTGGCCTCATAAAATGAGTTAGGAAGGATTCCCTCTTTTTCTATTGATTGGAATAGTTTCAGAAGGAATGGTAACAGCTCCTCTTTGTACCCCTGGTAGTATTTGGCTGTGAATCCATCAGGTCCTGGGCTTTTTTTGATTGATTGATAGGCTATTAATTATTGCCTGAATTTCAGAGCCTGTTATTGGTCTATTCAGAGATTCAACTTCTTCCTAGTTTATTCTTGGGAGGGTGTATGTGTCTAGGAATTTATCCATTTCTTCTAGATTTTCTAGTTTATTTGTGTAGAGGTGTTTATAGTATTCTCTGATGGTAGTTTGTATTTCTGTGGGATTGGTGGTGATATCCCCTTTATCATTTCTGATTGCCTGTATTTGATTCTTCTCTCTTTTTTTCTTTATTAGTCTTGCTAGTGGTCTATCAATTTTGTTGATCCTTTCACAAAACCAGCTCCTGGATTCATTAATTTTTTGAAGGGTTTTTTGTGTCTCTATTTCCTCCAGTTCTGCTCTGATCTTAGTTATTTCTTGCTTTCTGCTAGCTTTTGAATGTGTTTGCTCTTGCTTCTCCAGTTCTTTTAATTGTGATGTTAGGGTGCTGATTTTAGATCTTTCCTGCTTTCTCTTGTTGGCATTTAGTGCTACAAATTTCCCTCTACATGCTGCTTTAAATGTGTCTCAGAGATTCTGGTACGTTGTGTCTTTGTTCTCATTGGTTTCAAAGGACTTTTTTATTTCTGCCTTCTTTTTGTTATTACCCAGTAGTCATTCAGGAGCAGGTTGTTCAGTTTCTATGTACTTGTGTGGTTTTGAATGAGTTTCTTAATCCTGAGTTCTAATTTGATTGCACTATCGTCTGAGAGAGAGTTCTTTGTGATTTCTTTTCTTTTACATTTGCTGAGGAGTGCTTTGCTTCCAACGAGTGCTTTGCTTCAATTTTAAAGTAAGTGTGATGTGGTGCTGAGAAGAATGAATATTCCATTGATTTTGGGTGGAGAGTTCAGTAGATGTCTATTAGGTCTGCTTGGTGCAGAGCTGAGTTCAAGTCCTGGATATCCTTGTTAACCTTCTGTCTTGTTATCTGTCTAATATTGACAGTGGGGTGTTAAAGTCTCCCATTATGATTGTGTGGGAGTCTAAGTCTCTTTGTAGGTCTCTAAGGACTTGCTTTATGAATCTGGGTGCTCCTGTATTGGGTGCATATAATATTTAGGATAGTTAGCTCTTCTTGTTGAATTGATCCCTTTACCATTATGCAATGGCCTTCTTTGTCTCTTTTGATCTTTACTGGTTTAAAGCCTATTTTATCAGCGGCTAGGATTGTAACCCCTGCTTTTTTTTGCTTTCCATTTTCTTGGTAGATCTTCCTCCATCCTTTTATTTTGAGCCTATGTGTGTCTCTGCATGTGAGATGTGTCTCCTGAATACAGCACACTGATGGGTCTTGACTCTTTATCCAATTTGCCAGTCTGTGTCTTTTAACTGTGGCATTTAGCCCATTTACATTTAAGGTTAATATTGTTATGTGTGAATTTGATCTTGTCACTATGATGTTAGCTGGTTATTTTGCCTGTTAGTTGATGCAGTTTCTTCCTAGCATTGGTGGTATTTACAGTTTGGCATGTTTTTGCAGTGGCTGGTACCGGTTGTTCCTTTCCATGTTTAGTGCTTCCTTCAGGAGCTCTTGTAAGGCAGGCCTGGTGGTGACAAATCTCTCAGCATTTGCTTATCTGTAAAGAATTTTATTTCTCCTTCACTAATGAAGCTTAGTTTGGCTGGATATGAAATTCTGGGTTGAAAATTCTTTTCTTTAAGAATGTTGAATATTGGCCCCCACTCTCTTCTGGCTTGTAGAATTTGTGCTGAGAGATCTGCTGTTAGTCTGATGGGCTTTCCTTTGTGGGTAACCCGCCCTTTCTCTGTGGCTGCCCTTAACATTTTTTCCTTCATTTAACCTTGGTGCATCTGACAATTATGTGTCTTGTGGTTGTTCTTCTCGAGGAGTATCTTTGTGGTGTTGTCTGTATTTCCTGAATTTGAATGTTGGCCTGCCTTGCTAGGTTGGGGAAGTTCTCCTGGATAATATCCTCAAGAGTGTTTTCCAACTTGGTTCCATTCTCCCTGTTACTTTCAGGTACACCCATCAAATGTAGATTTGGTCTTTTCACATAGTCCCATATTTCTTGGAGGCTTTGTTTGTTTCTTTTTACTGTTTTTTCTCTAAACTTCTCACTTTATTTCATTAATTTGATCTTCAGTCACTGATACCCTTTCTTCCTCTTGATCCCATTGGCTAGTGATGCTTGTGCATGCGTCACGAAGTTGTTGTGCCATGGTTTTCAGCTCCGTCAGGTCATTTAAGTTCTTCTTTACACTGTTTATTCTAGTTAGCCATTTGTCTAATCTTTTTTCAAGTTTTTAGCTTCCTTGCAATGGTTTCAAATATCCTCCTTTAGCTTGGAGAAGCTTGTTATTACCAACCTAAGAAGAGCTAACTATCTTAAATATATATGCACCCAACATAGGAGCACCCATATTGGTAAATCAATTTCTTGGAGATCTTCAGAGAGACTTAGACTCACACAATAAAAGTGGGTGAATTTAACACCCCACTGTCAATATTAGATCATTGAGACAGAAATGTAAGAAAGATATTCAGGACCTGAACTCAGCTTTGGATTAAAATAAACCTGATAAATATCTACCAAACTCTCCACCCCAGAACAACTGAAAATACATTTTTCTCATTGCCACATATTACTTACTCTAAAATTAATCGCATAATGAGAATTACACCATTACTCAGCAAATGCAAAAGAGCTGAAATCACAACAGACAGTCTTTCAGACCACAGCACAATTAAATTAGTACTTAAGACTAAGACATTAACTCAAAACCGTATGATTACATGGAAATTGAATAACCTGCTCCTGAATAACGTTTGGGAAAATAATGAAATTAAGGCAGAAAGCAAGAAGTTATTTGAAACTAATGAGAAAAAAAGATACAACCTACCAGAATCTCTGGGACACAGCTAAGGCAGTGTTAAGATGAAAATTTATAGCATTAAGTGCCCACATCAAAAAATTAGAAAGATCTTAACAACCCAACATCATATCTAAAAGAACTAGAGAACAAAGAGTAAACAAATTTCAAACTTAGCAGAAGACAAGAAGTAACCAAAATCAGAGCTGAACTGGAGGAGATAGAGACATGAAAGACCATTCAAAACCCCAACAAATTCAGGAGGTGTTTTCTTTTTTTTTGAATAAATAAGTGAAAGAGTTAGACCACCAGCTAGACTAATAAAGAAGAGGGGAAGATTCAAATAAACACAATCAGAAATGATAAGGGAGATATTGCTACTGACCCCACAGAAATACAAACAACCATCGGAGAATATTATAAATACCTCTATAGACACAAACTAGAAAATCTAGAAGAAATGAATAAATTCACGGGCACATACACCTTCCCAATACTGAACCAGGTAGAAATGGAATTCCTGAACAGACCAAAAGTGTGTTTTCAAATTGAGGTAGTAATAAATAGCCTACTAACCTTAAAAAGCTCAGGGTAAGACAGATTCACAGCTGAAATTTACCAGAAGTGCAAAGAAGAGCTGATACCATCTCTACTGAAACTATTCCAAAGAAGTGAAGAAGAGGACTCATCCATAACTCATTCTATGAGATCAGCATCATCCTGGTACCAACCTGGCAGAGATACAACAAAATAAGAAAACTTCAGGCCAATATCCTTGATGAACATCAATTCAAAAAATCCAAAAAAATACTGGCAAACCAAATTCAGCATCAAAAAGTGTATTCACTATGAGTAAGTAGGATTCATCCCCTAGATGCTAGGTTGGTTCATCATATGCAAATCAATAAATGTGATTCATCACGTAAACAAAGGCAAAAAACTAAGACAAAAACCACATGATTATCTCAATAGATGCAGAAAAGTGTTTTGATAAAATTTAACATTCCTTCATTTTAAAAACTCTCAATAAACTAGGTAGTGATGGATCATACCTCAAAATAATGAGAGTCATCTGTGACAAACCCACAACCAGCACCATACTGACTGGGCAAATGCTGGAAGAACTCCCCTTGAAAGCCAGCACAAGACAAGGATGCCCTCTTTTACCACTCCTATTCAACATAGTATTGGAACTTCTGGCCAGGCAGTCAGCAAGAGAAAGAAATAAAAGGCAGTCAAACAGGAAGAGAGGCAGTCAAATTATTTCTGTTTGCAGATGACATAATCCTATATGTAGAAAACCCTGTAGTCTTGGCCCAAAAGCCTCTTAAGGTGATAAACAACTTCAGCAAAATCTCAAGATACAAAATCAATGTGCAAAATCACTAACATTCCTATACACCAACAACAGTTAAGCCAAGAGCCAAATCACGAACAAACTCGCATTCACAATTGCCACAAAAATAATAAAATACTTAGGAATACAGTGAACAGGAGAGGTGAACTACAAACCACTGCTTGAAGAAATCAGAGACGATACAAACAAATGGAAAAACATTCCATGCTCATGCATGGGAAGAATCAATAGCATTAAAATGACCATACTATCCAAAGCAATTTATACGTTCAATGGTACTTCCATTAAACTACCATTGACAGTCTTCACAGAACTAGAAAAAAACTATTTTAAAATTCATATGGAACCAAAAGAGAGCCTGAATAGCCAATGCATCTGATATGGTTTGGCTGTGTCCCCACCAAAATCTCACCTTGAATTCCCACGTATTGTGGGAGGGACCTGGTGGGAGGTAATTGAATCACAGGGGCAGGTCTTTCCTGTGCTGTTCTCATGACAGTGAATAAGTCTCATGAGATCTGACAATTATATAAGGAGGTGTTTCCCTGCACAACCTTCTTCTCTTGTCTGCCACCATGTGAGACATGCCTTTCACCCTCCACCATGATTGTGAGGCCTCCCCAGCTACATGGAATTGTAAGTCCATTAAATTGCTTTCTTTTGAAAATTGCCCAGTCTCAGGTATGGCTTTATCAGCAGCATGAAAACAGACTAATATAGCATCCTAAGCTAAAAGAACAAAGCTGGAGGCATCACTCTACCCAACTTCAAACTAAAATTCAGCAAAGAATTCATCAGGTCCCAGGCTTTTCTTTGCTGTGATACAGTCTTTTATGGTTTAAATCTGTTATTTGTTATTGGTCTATTTATGTGTTTTTTTTGTTTTGTTTTGTTTTTTGAGATGGAGTTTTACTCTGTTGCCCAGGCTGGAGTGCAGTGGTGCAAATTCAGCTCACTACAGTCTCTGCCTCCTACATGAAAGAGATTCTCCTGCCTCCGCCTCTTGAGTAGCTGGGATTACAATTGCATGTCACCATGCTTGTCTAATTTTTTGTGTGTGTTTTTACTAGAGATGGGGTTTCACTATGTTGGCCAGGCTGGTCTCAAACTCTGGCCCTCAAGTGATCCACCTACCTTGGTCTCGCAAAAGTGCTGGGATTACAGGCATGAGCCACCGTGCCCAGCCTCTATTTATGCTTCAAATTTCTTCATGGCTTACTCTTGGTAGGCAGACATCTATGTCTAAGAATTTCTCTATCTATTCTAGATTCTCTGTATTTTGCTCTGACTTTATTTATTTGGGCCATCTCTGTTCTTAATTTGTCTGCTAAAGGCTTGTCAGTTTTATCTTTTCAAAAAACCAATATTTTATTGCATTGGCCTTTTGTATTGTTTTTTCATTTCAATTTCATTTATTTCTGATTGATCTTTATTATTTGCTTTCTTCTACAAATTTGGGGTTTAATTTGCTCTTGCTTTTCTAGTTCTTTAAGATGCACCATTAGATAGTTAATTTGAAGTTTTTATACTTTTTTGATGTAGGCACTTATAGGCTTAAAATTTACTCTTTGCACCCTAAAACTTAAAGTATAATAAAAAAAAATTACTCTTTGTACTTCTGTTGCTGTATGCCACACATTTTGATATGTTGTGCTTCCATTGTTATTTGCTTAAAAACGTTTTAAAATTTTCTGTTTATTTATTCATTAACCCACTGGTCATTCAGAAACATATTGTGTAATTTCTATATTTTGGTATAGTCTCCAAAATCCCCCTTGTTATTGACCTCTAGATTGACTCTTTTGTGGGCAAAGAAGATACTTGATGTAACTTCAATTTTTTTGAAATTTTTAAGACTTGTTTTGTGGCATAACCTATGGTCTAGCCTCAAGAATGATCAATGTGCTGAGGAGAAGAATGTGTATTCTGCTGCCATTGGTTGAAATGTTCTGTGCATATCTATGAGGTCCATTTGGTTTACAGTGCAGATTAGGTCCAATATTTCTTTGTTGATTTTGTGTCTGGATAATCTGTCCATTGTTGAAAGTGTGGTGTTGAAACTTCTAGCTATTATTGTATTTGGGTCTCTCTCTCTCTTTAGCTCTAATCCAATTAGCATTATATATCTAGGTGCTTCCGTATTGTGTGCGTATTATATTTACAATTGTATATATTCTTGTTGAATTGGCCACTTATCATTATATAATGACCTTCTTTGTCTCTTTTTATGGTTTTTGTCTTGAAACATATTGTGTTCCATGTAAGTATAATGACCCTTGCTCTTTTTTGGTTTCCATTTGCATGTGATATCTTTTTCTGTTTATTTTCAGTCTACGTGTGTCTTTATAGGTGAAGTTTGTTTCTTGTTGCCAACATATCATCAGGCATTTTTTTTAAAAAATTCATTCAGCCACTCTAAGTCTTTTGATTGGAGAGTTTAGTCCATTTACATTCAATATTATTATTTATAAGTAAGAATTTAACTCTGCCATTTTGTTATTTGTTTTCTGCTTGCTTTGTGATCTTTTCTTTCTTCTTTCCTTATTTTCTGTCTTCCTGTTAGTGAAAGCGATTTTTGCTGGTGGTTTTAATGTCTTGCTTTTTATATTTTGTGTATCTGTTGTATGTTTTTTAATTTGAGATTACCCTGAGACTTGTGAATAATATCTTATCACTCATTATTTTAAACTAATGATGACACTGATTACAGGAACAAACAAACAAAGAAAAAAACTAACAAAAATAAAAACTCCACACTTCAGCTTTATCTCCTGGGTTTTTAAACTTTTGATTGTTTCTATTTATATCTTATTGTACTGCCTATGCCTTGAAACATTGTTGTAGTTATTATTTTTGATTGGTTCACATTTTAGTCTTTCTACTCAACATATAAGTAGTTTACACACCAGAATTACAGTGTTATGTTATTCTTCGTTTTTTGTGTACTTTCTATTACCAGTGAGTTTTGAACCTTCAGATGATTTCTTATTGCTCATTAATATCCTTTTTTTTCTGGATGAAGAATTCCCTTTAACATTGCTTATAGAACAGGTCTGGCATTGATTAAATCCTTCAGGTTTTTGTCTGGGAGAGTTTTTATTTCTCCTTCATGTTTGAAGAATATTTTTGCTGGTTGTACTATTCTAGGATAGGTTTTTTAATTCCTTCAGCTCTTTAACTATGTCATACCACTCTCTCCCAGCATGTAAAGTTTCCACTGAAAAGCCTGCTGGTAGATTTATTGGATCTCCTTTGTATGTTGTTTCTTTTATCTTGCTACTTTTAGGATCTTTTCTTTATTCTTGACCTCTGGGAGTTTAATTATCACATGTCTTGATGTAGTCTTATTTTGGTAAAATCTGCTTTGTGTTCTATAACTTTCTTGTACTTTAATATTGATATCTTTTTCTAGGTTTGAGATGTTTTCTGTTATTATCCCTTTGAATAAACTTTCTACCCTGATCTCTCTCTCTCTATCTCCTCTTTAAGACCAATAACTTTTACATTTGCCCTTTTGAGGCTGTTTTCTAGATCATGTAGTTGTGTTTCATTCTTCTTTTTTTTTTGGCCTTCTCTGACTGGGCATTTCCAAATAGCCCATCTTCAAGACCACTAATTCTTTATTCTGCTTGATCAATTCTGTTCTTGAGAGACTTTGATGCATTCTTCAGTATGTCAATTACATTTTTCTGCTTCAGAATCTTTGCTTGGTTCTTATTAGTTATTTCCATTTCATTGTTAAATTTATCTGATAGGATTCTGAATTATTTCTCTGTGTTATTTTAGATATCATTGAGTTTCCTCAAAGCAGCTATTATCAGCTGGGTGCAGTGGCTCACACCTGTATTCCCAGCACTTTGGGAGGCCGAGGCAGGTAGATCACCTGAGGTCGGGAGTTCGAGACTAGCCTGACCAACATGGAGAAACCTCATCTCTACTAAAAATACAAAATTAGCCAGGCGTGATGGCACATGCCTGTAATCCCATGTACTCAGGAGGCTGAGGCAGGAGAATCACATGAACCCGGGAGGTGGAGATTGCGGTGAGCTGAGATCGCACCATTGCACTCCAGCCTGGGCAACAAGAGCAAAACTCTGTTTCCAAAAAAAAAAAAAAAAAAAAAAAAAAGCCAAAAAAACAAACAAAAAACAGCTATTTTGAATTC